>NC_000006.12:15666060-15817575 GCF_000001405.40 Homo sapiens | reverse complement strand
TCCCGTTTTTCAAATATTAGTGGAATGTCCTCAGGGTAATAGTTATGCCGCTGATCAAGAACACACGGGTACACACAGGGATTCCCAGAATCTCTTCAATACCTCCGAGCAGCACCCCCACCCAGGTGTAAGGGCTGGGACCTCTGCTGTAGGCCAGGATGATGTCATGTCATCCTGTTTCAACTCTGTACAAAGCCAAGCAGAGCGCCAAAGACTCCAGATGCCCAAGGGCTATAGGCTATTATGTGGTGGCGATTTGATCAACTTCAGAGAGTGCTCAAGGCTAATCTCATGATTCCATTACAAGCTCTGTTCCTCCAGGCCCCAGGAGCTGATGTTTATCTGTATTGCTCTCATCATTCTTTTGGTTCAGTAGCAATTCCCTTACAGGAACTCCATAAATTGGGAAAGAGGATTGCATGACCAGAGCCCCAGGTGGTTGTCACCGTGTGACCTCTGTGACTTATCAGACTCCCTCCTCTCATGTACCTGAACCCCCTCCCACAGTCCAGCTCCCTCCTGGCCTCAAACTCTGCTTTGAGCCCTACTTTTCCAGCTGTGCTTCTGACTGCATTCTTCATGCCAGCCCCCTCTCCTTAATGGCTGCATCAGGCTCCCAAAACCCCAATCTGTGGGCTTCCTGGTTGTGCTGCAAATGGGTTCAGTGCCCAGAACGTCAGCTTGGCTGCCACCTGACTTCAAGTGTCATCTATGGCCTCAGGTACTACCCCCAGGCCAAACGCAGTGAATTAGAACTCAGGGACTGTGAGGGCCTCTGCAATCAGACATCTCCCCTCAGGTAAGAAAATCAAGAGGCTGGGTTAGTTTGTACAACCCCTCCCTCCCTCCACCCCTCACCTTTCCTTTACCCATCCCCACTCCCCATCAGTCTCCCCCATTTCCAGCTCACTTGATGGGATGGGCTGGAAAGCAGCAGCAGAAGAGAGCAACTCTGGAATCAGAAACATCTGGATTCCAATTCCAGCATTTGCTACTCACAAGCAATACAATGTCAGACAGGTGATAAGCCCCTCTCCACCTTACTGGTCTCATCGAGGAAATGGAAATAACAGCCTCTGTGTCACAAGGTTATCAGGAGGACTGAAGGTAATGCATATAAATATGATGTCTGGCACAGAGTAGAACATCAAAAACCAGTCACCATTATGTGTGTGTGTGTGTGTGTGTGTGTGTGTGTGTGTTTTGTGTGTATTTTGTTTTGTTTTGTTTTGAGACAGAGTCTTGCTCTGTCACCCAGGCTGGAGTGCAGTGGTGCGATCAAGGCTCACTGCAACCTCCACTTCCCAGATTCAAGCAATTCTCCTGCCTCAGCCTCCTGAGTACCTGGGATTACAGGTGCCTGCCACCAGGCTTGGCTAATTTTTGTATTTTAGTAGAGACGGGGTTTCACCATGTTGGCCAGGCTGGTCTCGAATTCCTGACCTCATGTGATCCGGCCGTCCCAGCCTCCCAAAGTGCTGGGATTACAGGCATGAGCCACCGTGCCCGGTCACCACTATTATTCATTCTCAGCATGTATTCTCCTGTCTTTTCTAGAAGTTCTGGAGACTCTAGTCACATGCCCACTTGCCAGTCAGATGCAAGAAACTGGTAACAACCACAGCACATTCCTGAATGTTATTGTAAGACCTTTAAATTTTGGGTCAGTTTCCCAGACAAACTCAGGCTTTAGGCCTGCCTGCAACCTATTTCTGCAATTTCTCAATTTGGGCTTTGGCCTATCCTGTAATCCCCCTGATGCCTGCCTTTAACAACATGCACTCACATAAAAAAATTAAAAGATACTCTGTGCTCATGGGCTGGAGGAATTCATATTGTTAAAATGACAATACTATCCAAAGCACTTTACAGATTCAATGCAATCCTTATCAGAATACCAATGACATTCTCCACAGAAATAGAAAAAAAATTCTCAAATGTATATGGAACCACAAAAAAACTCAAATAGCTAAAGTAATCCTAAGCAAAAAGAGCAAAGCTGGAGGTATCACACTTACCTGACTTCAAAATTTACTACAAAGACATAGTAACCAAAACAGTATGGTACTGGCATAAAAACAGACACATAGACCGATGGAACAGAATAGAGACCTCTGATATAAATCCATGAATTTACAACCAACTCATCTTTGACAAAGATGCAAAAACATACAATGGGGTGAAGACAGCCTTTTCAAGAAACAGTGCTAGAAAAACTAGAGAGCTATGTACACAAGAATGAAAGTAGACCCTGAATCTCTCACCATACACAAAAAAATCAGATCAAAATGAATTAAAGACTTGAATCTAAGACCTGACATCATGAAACTGCTAGAAGAAAACATTGGGGAAATGCTCCAGGACATTGGTCTTGGCAATTTTTTTTTTGTATACGACTTCGAAAGCACAGGCAACCAAAGCAAAAATATAGAACTGGGTTTATATCAAGCTAAAAAGTTTCTTCTGCAAATGAACAATCAAGACATTGAAGGGACAACACATAGAAAGGAAGAAAATATTGGAAAACCATCCATTTGACAAGTGATTAATAACCAGAATAGATAAGGAGCTCAAACAACTTAATAGCAACCACAACAACAAAAAATCTAATTAAAAAATGGGCAAAAGATGTGAATATTTCTCAACAGTGACATACAGATGGCCTACAGCTCTATGAAAAAAAAGTTCAACATCACTAATCATGGAGAAATGCAAATCAAAACCAATTTGCAATATCCTCTCATCCCAGTTAAAAGGACTTGTATGAAAAAGACAAGCAACAGCAGATGCTGGCAAGAATGTGGAGAAAGGGGAACTCTCATACACTGCTAATGGGAATGTAAATTAGCACAGCCACTATGGAGAACAGTATGGAGATTCCTCAAAAAACTAAAATTAGAACTACCATATGATCCAGCAACTCCACTACTGAGATAGTTGTCCAAAAGAAAAGAATCAATATATCAAAGAGATATCTGCCTACCATGTTTATTGTAGTACTATTCACAATTGTCAAATATGGAATCAGGCTGGGTGTGGTGGCTCATGCCTGTAATCCCAGCACTTTGGGAGGCTGAGGCGGGCGGATCACTTGAGGTAAGTTCAAAACCATCCTGGCCAACGTGGTGAAACCCCATCTCTACTAAAAATACAAAAATTAGCTGGGCGTGGTGGTGGATGCCTGTAATCCCAGCTACTCATGAGGCTGAGGCAGGAGAACCCTTTAAGCCTGGGAGGCGGAGGTTGTAGTCAGTGGAGATTACACCACTGCTCTCCAGCCTGGGCGACAGAGGGAAACTCGGTCTCAAAGAAACAAACAAACAAAAAGGCAGGGCAGGGTGGTTCATGCCTGTATCCCAGTACTTTGGGAGGCTGAGGCAGGTGGATCACGAAGTCAGGAGTTAAAGACCAGCCTGGCCAAGATGGTGAAAACCCATCTCTACTAAAAATACAAAAATTAGCCAGGTATAGTGGTCAAGGTGCTTGTAATCCCAGCTACTTGGGAGGCTAAGGCAGAGAATTGCTTGAGCCCGGGAGACAGAGGTTGCAGTCAGCTGAGATCACGCCACTGCACTCCAGCCTAGGTGATAGAGCGAGATTCTGTCTCAAAAAAAAAAAAAAAAAAAAAAAAAAAGTGTGTAGCACCTCCCTCCTCTCTCTCTTCCTCCTGCTCTAGCCACGGAAGACATGCTTGCTTCCCCTTTGCCTTCCACCGTGATTGTCAGGTTCCTGTGACCTCCCCAGCCATGCTTCTTGTACAGCCTGTGGAACTGTGAGCCAATTAAACCTCTTTTATTTATAACTTACCCAGTCTCAGGTATTTCTTTATAGCAGTGCAAGAACAGAGCAATACAGATGGTAAATTATATATGCATATTTTGTCTCAATTAAAAAAATAAATTAAAAAAAGCATACACTTACCCCGTGGCATGCTGAAGCTGGTTTGTGCTGGCTAACAAGAACTGGTTGTTAATTTTTAAGAATTTTGCTCGTCAGTTGAAATCAGCCATGACAGAAGTATTCCTACCATAGAAATCGGCAACCCCTCCACAAATAGGTTGGTGCAAAAGTAACTGCAGTTTTTGCCATTAAAAAGTAATGTGAAAAACCACACTTACTTTTGCATCAACCTAATTTATTAGCTCACCACGGATTTATTAGCTAATTTATTAGCTCATCACCATACCCACCACTTCCTTTTTTTTTTTTGAGACGGAGTCTCGCTCTGTCACCCAGGCTGGAGTACAGTGGCGCGATCTCGACTCACTGCAAGCTCCGCCTCCTGAGTTCACGCCATTCTCCTGCCTCAGCCTCCCAAGTAGCTGGGACTACAGGCGCCTGCCACCACGCCCGTCTAAATTTTTTTGTGTTTTTAGTAGAGATGGGGTTTCACCCACCACTTCCTTGTGAACTTGATTTTTCTGGGTCCCACTCCCTGTACCATGTTCCGTCCACCTGCCCATCATCCATGACTAAGACCTCATCCTGGTGAGTCCTCCCCCAGGACTCTGGTCTCCAAGTGATTGTTCCCTGGTGTAGCATGGACAGCACCCCAGATCTAACACCATCCAAGAAAATAACACAAACCCTGGACATCCCGAGGGAACTCAATGCTTTGTTTACTATCCAATTCCCACATATCGGAGACAGCTCCTGTCAAAATAAAGTCAATAGACCATTTCACACATTAATTATCTCAGACTGCAAACCTAAGGGGAAGACTTGAGAGGTTCTGTTATCAAATAAACAACCCCTGTCAATGTTCCATATAGAAGATTCTGAAAAGATGTGAGCCTAATTGACAATCTCCCAGTTATATTTTAATTGAGATGATGCCGTGTGGCACAATGAATTCCATCCACCACTTTCCATTGGCTTCTGTGTGACCTTTCCCCCCATTTCTTGACAGATTCGTCTTGCTGAACATCTTGTGGAAAATGTAAAAAACTTCGCTTTTTTCTCCATCATGCTGAAGTTTGAATCTCATGAATTTATTTTCCTTAAAATAACAGTTGCTGCATATTCTGATCACTTCTTGCTTCAATTATATTTGTACTGAAACTTCCTCTTCTAAATAGCTTTGTGCATTTTCTCTCTCCTTCCTGTCCTTCTCCGTAGTCTTAGCTCATTCGTGGAAGATTATCGCTTTGATCTTTATGTTGACCAGAGTCAGATAGATAGACACCAAAGGAATCAGGGACCCCTTCCATGGCTATAAATTCAGATTATGTTTTTTTAAAAACCATCTTTAATGCTTTTAAACAAAGGCAGGTAGTTTAAGAAGGCCTCTGTTAAGACAGTCACAAATTTAAGACAATTTGGGACACTCTTGTCCATCTATACATTAATTCAGTTCACCCACATTTATGCAGCCTGTTGTGAACTAAGTCCTCTGATAGGCTCTGAGGCTCTTAGGGCCCCTCCTCTTCACTGTCTATCTAGTAGAGGAGATAAGCAAATAAACACAACTGGATCTGATGTGTGCTATAATATAGGTATGACCAAACTACAGAGACAGAAAGGAGTAAAGAGGGAGTTACTAAGTCAGTTGGGCAGTGTATCAGTTTCTTATTGCTACTGTAATAAACTGCCACTAGCTTAGTGGCTTGAAACAACACTAATTTATTCTTCTACAATTCCGGAGATTAGAAGTCCAAACTGAGTCTTATGGAGCTAAAATAAAAGTGTTGAGACCCAGGGACAGTGGTTCATGCCTATAGTCCCAGCTACATGGGAGGCCGAGGTAGGAGGATCCCTTGAGCCCAGAAATTTGAGGCTAGCCTGGGAAATATAGGGAGATCCCATCAAATAAAAAAGAACTGACAGGGCTAATTCCTTCTGAGGATTCCAGGGGAGTATCCATTCCTTTGCCTCCTCTAGAGGCTGCCTGTGTTGCTGGCCTTGCCCGTGACCTCGTCACTCCAATTTGTGACTCCATCATCACATTCCCTTCTCTTCCTCCAATCTCCTGCCTCATCTTATAAGTAGCCTGTAATGACATTGAACCCACCCAGATAATCCAGAATCATCACCCCATCTCAAGATCTTTGACTTACTCATATCTTCAAAGTCCCTTTTACCAGGTAAGGTAACACATTCACGGGTTCTATGAATTCAGACTTCAGCATTCAGCCTACCACTGCAGGATGGAGGAGGGGAGTTCCATGAAACTTCTTCCCATGTGAGAAAGGATAGTAGAGTCATCTGCTGTGTCCTGGCTAGTTCTTGCCACTCTGCATCTTGCAGACCTGACCTGCCACAGGTGCCCACCCCCCCACCTGTTGCTGCCACACTGCTTCTCTCTTTCCCTTGGGAGGTGGCTTCTGCCTCCAGCTCCTTTACAGCCAGGGGGAGCCTGTTAGGCTGGAGCTGCTGAATGGTCCCCTCCAAAAATTGTCTAGAAGTCTACCTTAGAGGTGGGCCACAAACTACCACCTTTCTCAGGTAACGCAACTGAAGTACAAAGAATTTCTCAATTTTACATTGCAAAATAATGGGTAATTATCCATTATAAATAGCTACCTGTTATTAGCACTTGTTATGTGTAATGAATTGCACTATGTGGTTTATAAGAATTATTTCATTTAATTCTTAACAATAATCTCTATGGCAGACACAATCTTTATTCCCTTGTTCATGATAAGGAAGTGGAGGCTTAGTAAGTTTAATCAATTTCTCCAATGCCATTTAGCAAGCAAGAACAGTAGCTCAGACTTAAAACCAGCTTTATCTGGTTCTAAAGCACTTATTCTAACCACAGCTCTATTCTAATGCCCAAGTCAGCTGAGGTCAGAGCTATTCAATAGATGGTTAGAGGCAGTAACGTGGAAAAGACAAGAACATGTGTCCTGGACCTTGGCCACATATCAACTTATAAAATTGGGTCAATTACTTAATTTTAAAGTGCCTCAGTTTCTCATCTGTAAGTTGGAGATAAATATAATACCTATCTGATAGAGTTATAATGAGGATTATATGAGATAATACGTATAAATATTATGTTCCTAACACACAGTAAATAATCAATAAATGTTAGCTATTTTACTGTTATTTAACTGAATTAGAGTTGTTACGTTGTTGAAAATAGAGAATAGGTAGCCACACCTTCGTGAGGACTGGAGTAGGAAAAGCTATTATTTGACATGGAAACTTCCAGTGAGATGGGTGATGAACAGCTTGGTGCATGATTTAGGTTTGAATAAATGTTCGCTCTGCCATAAAGGCTATGTGAGGATAATCCGCATGGGAAAAGGACCTTTGCCTGTCTGTTATTAAATGTCGTCTCTCACCTCTAAATTCTCCTTCCTCAATCTGTTTAGTGATCCTGGGGCCAGAACTTGGCAAACTCCCTCTTTCCTTTGCCAGCTGCCTCCCTGTTTCCCTCTTAAGCAACCAGTAGCAGGCACAGGAAGAGGTTTAGAAGGTGGGAGCGGAACAAGGGACCTGATGCCATTCTTGTCAGCAGCACCCAAGGAACAGCCCCCAATCCTGGCACCTGCACGTAGGTTCCAGTGACAGGTGGCTCTGATTTCCAGCTGCTTTTCACTGTCCTGGAACCTGGTTCACAGTGCTGTCCTGGGAGGCACACGCGTAGCAGCCCCTTCTCTAAGTCCCAGTTCCAGGGGCTCCTCCTCCAAGCTCTGGGGGTGCCAGCAGCAGTTAGACAGTGTCCTCTGCCTGGAGATCTGTCATTCATGTGAAGCCTCCATCCAAGCTTTTGGTTTCCAATAAACCCAAACTCTCCCCTTCATTCTCCCAGTGCTAGAGGTTCCAGTGGCCTCCTCCAGTGAGTATCTCTGTGTTCATTCATTAACACTTTTGTTTTTCCTGTCTTTCAACAGCTGTTTAATCAATTGCCTATAGTAAATTATCTCTGTTAAAGTAACTAGCATGGATGCTGTTTCCTGACTAGACCCTGAATAATACACACACTTATGTACAAACACTGTACATGGACACTGACATTTGTGTACACACACAAACATTTCTATGTGCATTACGTATGAATATTCATAGCACTTTCCTCGGTGTGTTTCAGCCCTGCATCTGCTCTGCTGGCCCTCATTAATGCTCTGTCCTTTCCAGATGCTAAAATGTGTCAGAAAGAACAATACTACAGAGTTCTAGATGCAATATATTTCCCCTTGTATAAATATAAGTGTCTGTTTCATGCTTCTATACAGTCAAAAACTTACAGGCCAACTCTTTTTCACATTAGACATTTGTGGTGGTAACATTTGTTAACGACTTACTGGCTCAAAGGGGACATTTTAATTAGATGATATAAAAATTCCCTCTTGAAACTTTCACTGCTTCCTTCATTTATTCAACATAAGTAATTTTCCACTCAGCGCCAGACACTCTTCTGGATGTTTCAGGTAAAAAAACAAACAAACAAACATAAAAACAAAAAAAAGACAGACAAAGGCAAAGCCCTTGTGGTGAGAATGACAGGGGGATCAGGGATGGGGAATGGTTTATATGCACAGACCCAGGACAGAATCTGTCAGCCTGTGTGGGAAGGCTCTGGAGCCCAGCCATCTGGGTTCAAATCCTGCCTCCACTACTTACCACCAAATGACCTTGGAAAAGTTCCTAAACTTTTCTATGCTTCCTGTTTCCTCTTGTTACAAAATAAAGATTCAAAGGATTACTAAGAAGGTTAAGAAGAAAATAAACAGTCCTCGGCACAGTATAGGCACTTGGTAAGTACTGGTCCTTTTTACCATCATCATTAGAAATGTGCTCGGAGGTCTCATTTGCCCTGTATTAGTCTTCTCATACTGCTATAAAGATACTACCAGAGACTGGGTAATTTATAAAGAAAGGAGGTTTAATTGACTCATAGTTCTGCATGGCTGTGGAGGCCTCAGGAAACTTACAGTCATGACAGAAGGCAAAGGAGAAGCAAGTACCTTCTTCACAAGGCAGCAAGAGAGAGTGTGAGCAAGAATGAGAAAGTGCCACACTTTAAAACCATCAGCTGTCATGAGAACTCACTCACTATCCAATCACCTCCCTCCTGGTTCGTGGTTCCAGGAGCTGGTTTTTTGAAAAGATCAACAAAATTGATAGACTGCTAGCAAGACTAATAAAGAAGAAAAGAGAGAAGAATCAAATAGATGCAATAAAAAATGGTAAAGGGGATATCACCACTGATCCCACAGAAATACAAACTACCATCAGAGAATACTATAAACACCTCTATGCAAATAAACTAGAAAATCTAGAAGAAATGGATAAATTCCTCGACACATACACCCTCCCAAGACTAAACCAGGAAGAAGCTGAATCTCTGAATAGACCAATAACAGGCTCTGAAATTGAGGCAATAATTAATAGCTTATCAACCAAAAAAAGTCCAGGACCAGATGGATTCACAGCCGAATTCTACCAGAGGTACAAGGAGGAGCTGGTACCATTCCTTCTGAAACTATTCCAATCAACAGAAAAAGAGGGAATCCTCCCTAACTCATTTTATGAGGCCAGCATCATCCTGATACCAAAGCCTGGCAGAGACACAACAAAAAAAGAGAATTTTAGACCAATATCCTTGATGAACATTGATGCAAAAATCCTCAATAAAATACTGGCAAACCGAATCCAGCAGCACATCAAAAAGCTTATCCACCATGATCAAGTGGGCTTCATCCCTGGGATGCAAGGCTGGTTCAACATACGAAAATCAATAAACGTAATCCAGCATATAAACAGAACCAAACACAAAAACCACATGATTATCTCAATAGATGCAGAAAAGGCCTCTGACAAAATTCAACAACCCTTCATGCTAAAAACTCTCCGTAAATTAGGTATTGATGAGACGTATCTCAAAATAATAAGAGCTATCTATGACAAACCCACAGCCAATATCATACTGAATGGACAAAAACTGGAGGCATTCCCTTTGAAAACTGGGACAAGACAGGGATGCCCTCTCTCACCACTCCTATTCAACATAGTGTTGGAAGTTCTGGCCAGGACAATCAGGCAGGAGAAGGAAATAAAGGGCATTCAATTAGGAAAAGAGGAAGTCAAATTGTCCCTGTTTGCAGATGACATGACTGTACATCTAGAAAACCCCATTGTCTCAGCCCAAAATCTCCTTAAGCTGATAAGCAACTTCAGCTAAGTCTCAGGATACAAAATCAATGTGCAAAAATCACAAGCATTCTTGTACACCAATAACAGACAAACAGAGAGCCAAATCATGAGTGAACTCCCATTCACAATTGCTTCAAAGAGAATAAAATACCTAGGAATCCAACTTACAAGGGACGTGAAGGACCTCTTCAAGGAGAACTACAAACCACTGCTCAATGAAATAAAAGAGGATACAAACAAATGGAAGAACTTTCCATGCTCATGGGTAGGAAGAATCAATATTGTGAAAATGGCCATAGTGCCCAAGGTAATTTATAGATTCAATGCCAGCCCCATCAAGCTACCAATGACTTTCTTCACAGAATTGGAAAAAACTACTTTAAAGTTCATATGGAACCAAAAAAGAGCCTGCATTGCCAAGTCAATCCTAAGCCAAAAGAACAAAGCTGGAGGCATCATGCTACCTGACTTCAAACTATACTACAAGGCTACAGTAACCAAAACAGCATGGTACTGGTACCAAAACAGAGATATAGACCAATGGAACAGAACAGAGCCCTCAGAAATAACGCCGCATATCTACAACTATCTGTTCTTTGACAAACCTGACAAAAACAAGCAATGGGGAAAGGATTCCCTATTTAATAAATGGTGCTGGGAAAACTGGCTAGCCATATGTAGAAAGCTGAAATTGGATCCTGTACTTACACCTTATACAAAAATTAATTCAAGATGGATTAAAGACTTACATGTTAGACCTAAAACCATAAAAACCCTAGAAGAAAACCTAGGCATTACCATTCAGGACATAGGCATGGGCAAGGACTTCATGTCTAAAACACCAAAAGCAATGGCAACAAAAGCCAAAATTGACAAATGGGATCTAATTAAACTAAAGAGCTTCTGCACAGCAAAAGAAACTACCATCAGAGTGAACAGGCAACCTACAGAATGGGAGAAAATTTTTGCAACCTACTCATCTGACAAAGGGCTAATATCCAGAATCTACAATGAACTCAAACAAATTTACAAGAAAAAAACAAACAACCCCATCAAAAAGTGGGCGAAGGACATGAACAGACACTTCTCAAAAGAAGACATTTATGCAGACAAAAAGCACATGAAAAAATGCTCATCATCACTGATCATCAGAGAAATGCAAGTCAAAACCACAATGAGATACCATCTCACACCAGTTAGAATGGCGATCATTAAAAAGTCAGGAAACAACAGGTGCTGGAGAGAATGTGGAGAAATAGGAACACTTTTACACTGTTGGTGGGACTGTAAACTAGTTCAACCATTGTGGAATTCAGTGTGGCGATTCCTCAGGGATCTAGAACTAGAAATACCATTTGACCCAGTCATCCCATTACTGGGTATATACCCAAAGGATTATAAATCATGCTGCTATAAAGACACATGCACATGTATGTTTATTGCAGCACTATTCACAATAGCAAAGACTTGGAACCAACCCAAATGTCCAACAACGATAGACTGAATTAAGAAAATGTGGCACATATACACCATGGAATACTATGCAGCCATAAAAAATGATGAGTTCATGTCCTTTGTAGGGACATGGATGAAGCTGGAAACCATCATTCTCAGCAAACTATCGCAAGGACAAAAAACCAAACACCGCATGTTCTCACTCATAGGTGGGAATTGAACAATGAGAACACATGGACACAGGAAGAGGAACATCACACACCGGGGACTGTTGTGGGGTGGGGGGAGGGGAGAGGGATAGCATTAGGAGACATACCTAATGCTAAATGATGAGTTAATGGGTGCAGCACACCAACATGGCACATGTATACACATGTAACAAACCTGCACATTGTGCACATGTACCCTAAAACTTAAAGTATAATAATAATACAATTAAAAACAACAACAACAAAAAACAAAAAAAAATAAATTAACGTGGGAGCACAGAGGTGAAAGGAGGTTGAATTCAGTGTATATTTTGAAGGTAAATCTAAAAAGATCTGCTGATGGATTTGCCTGAGAGGATTCAAAGGTGAAACCTAGTCCCATTTCGTGCAGTGGAGAAGACTAAGAGGAGCACTGTGGGCTTAGGCAAGCAGCAAAGGTAGGGTTCAGGTTTGGCCATGGCAAGTGAGATGCGAATTAGACATTCAAGCAGAAATGTTGAGGGCAGGTGGATACACACATCTGCTGCTAACTTCTGCCCCTCTCTGCCTCCCTTCCACCATTATAGGGTTATTTGTCAGAATTAGACAGTGACCTAAATAGAGGCATTAAGTCACCATTTGTTGATTTGGTGTGAATTTAGTTAATGCACCCTACAGCAGTTTGCTTGGAGAATAAGAATTTTTATGGTGCCTCGGAGCTTCCACCTAGCCCTGGAGAGAGGTCAGGGTGTTCAGAAACAGCACAAAAATAGGAGGCAAAGTGGCACTGGAAATGATTTTCTTCCATGTAGTAGGGCTGGCCCTGTGTATATAACCTGTGCTGCCTTCGAATTTCACATAAGACTTATGAATCACACTGAGAGCCTCCTTCGGGTCATTTACTTCCTTCCATCAATTACTAGCTAGGCTAGACACAGTCTGAATTTAAACCAAATCATGATCACTTTTTCCACCCGCCACCCATTGAAATCCTCATCACTATGATTATCAGTAACTGCTGGAGTCTCCATCCTTCCTTCCAGGGAGGGAGACAAAAAAACAAAACAAAACAAACCTCCCATGTCTTGAAAATAACCTTTCTAATTACCTTTCTTCTCTCTCCTGATGAGCCTGGCAGCATCATAAACCCCGTGCGTGTATCTCAGAAGCAGTCTCTGCAGAGCAAGAGACAGGCAGTAGCTCTCCTCCTCACCAGCCTCGCACCCCAGCTTGCTGCTAAGCTGCGTTCTTTATCATCTTAATTGCAACTTGCATGCCCACCTTTCTGCTCCAGGAGCTCTGAGTATTAATCACCTCCAAGTCACTTCAGGTAATGCTGACTGCTTTATCTTTTGTTCTGTCACCAACAAGGGGATACAGGAGGTTGTAGGCAGGCAAATGGCTTCCTCCTCAATTCCAATCTTCCTGAAATCCTCGCCACTCACCGCGCTGGTGAAAACCTTCTGGCCCTTTCCTCTGGGGAGCCATTCCTCACTCTAGTGAGTTTCCTCCAAGGCCACATTTGTCAATGTCCGTTGTAAAATTACCAACCATTTGATGTTTTGTTAACCCTTTGCAAGCACATTGTACAGAGGCAAATGAGAGAGCATAATAAAGAGCAGTTGCTTTCAAAGCACCCGCAGCATCAGCATCCCCTGGACCAGATTCTTGGCCAGGCCATGGTGGCTCATGCCTTTAGTCCCAGTACTTTGGTAGCCGTAGGAGGGAGGATCACTTGAGACCAGGAGTTCGAGACCAGCCTGGGCAACATAAGGAGACCCACTCACTATTAAAAAAATTTAATTAGCCAGGCATGGTAGTGCACCCCAGTAGTCCCAGCTACTCAGGAGGCTGAGTTGGGAGGATTGCTTGAGCCCAAGAGTTTAAGGTTGCAGTGAGCCGTGATCACACCACTGCACTCCAGCCTGGACAACAGAGCAAGACCCCATCTCAAAAAAAGAAAAAGGAGGAAAGAAATGCAGATTCTCAGGCCCCACCCAGACTAACTGAAAAATCAGAATCTCTGCAGGGAGGGCCCAGCAATCTCTGGTTTCTCAAGCTCTCCAGGTGCTTCTGATGCATGCTTAAATTTGAGAGCAACTGAAAAAGCACTCTGGTTGGAAAACAGGAGTGCTAACTACACCAGTGATGAACAAACTGTGTGCCTTTGGTTGGGCTGTCCACCTTGCAGCACTTAGTTTCCACACTCAAAAATGAGCAGATCTGACTTGATCATCTCTACAGCCCCTTCCAGACTCAAAATTTTAAGAAGGTATGTCGGGGAGGGGGAAGGGACCACAGTATGAGATGATGATGATGATTAGTGTTTCCTGAATGCTCCTTTGGAGTCTGGTACTAGGCCAGGCATTCTTGTTACCTATGAGATGCACATATCTTGAAGGTGGACAAGTATCAAATTGTTCTGGTCCCCCTGTGACACTGGGCTCAGGCTTTTCTGACACACCCTCTTTGGTGGAGTTGGGTGCACCCTCCGGGCTATGCCACCTCCTGAGTGCATTGCCCTCCCTACACTGAGCCCTGGACGTTACAACTTTCCCCCCTTGTCCTCGTCTCTCCCACTGTGAGCTCTTGGAGGAAAGGGGACATGTTTGTATTCCAGCATCCAGCCAAATGTCTGGCACTTAGTATGTGAGTGACTCAAAGATAAATCAATGTTTATATCAATAATTTTCACTCTGCTTGGAAATCCCATAGGCATTGTCAGGGTTATGTCCTTGGAGCCTCTCCAATTCTTACCTCCTCCTCTCTAGGCAACTCAACCACCCTTGATTTGTTTTTATGCTTCTTCCTCACGAAACTCTATGCTTTGGCCTTTCATATCACGCGAGCCACATTCCTCAGCAGGGTCTACACTCTGCATCTCTTAGTGGGCTCTGTCTTTGCCTCATCAGAGCAAGAATTAATAGTTATTTCCCTTTAAAAAGATGTATTTTTAAAATGTCCTCTAACAGGTACATTTTGCTCGTTGTTTTAACGTGTGATATGCAGCATCTAAATGGACAGTAGAATAAAGCTACTTTCAGCAAGATGCTCCTGTATTTCCCCTCCTCCAACAGCGCCAGCTCTCCTTTCTCACTGAGCCTGCAGTAAATCAGTGGAAAGTTCAGCCTTAGGTCTCCTTGATGAGTTGATGTTAGCATTTCCATTAGCCATCGATAAAACAAATATTCACTGCATGAAGGCTTTATTACCATGCTAAGGCTAGGCTCACAGACCAAGCATTGCAGTGAACAATGAGGGCTATGGATATGCCTAGAAATTGGGCCCATACCCTGCTCACACTCACTCGTATGTTTTTAGGAACTTTGCTTAAGATGCTGCTGTAGGCAGAATTTTTTTTTTTTTTTTTTTTTTGAGACAGAGTTTCGCTCTTGTCACCCAGGCTGGAGTG
Source organism: Homo sapiens (assembly GCF_000001405.40). Taxonomy (NCBI): domain Eukaryota; kingdom Metazoa; phylum Chordata; class Mammalia; order Primates; family Hominidae; genus Homo; species Homo sapiens. The sequence continues at coordinate 15,802,416 of NC_000006.12, read as the reverse complement.
CAATGGCATGGTCTTGGCTCACGCAACCTCTGCCTCCCGGGTTCAAGCGATTCTCCTGCCTCAACCTCCCAAGTAACTGGGCTTACTGGCACCCACCACTATGCCCGGCTAATTTTTGTATTTTTAGTAGAGACGGGGTTAGAATTTTAAGATGGTGCCCAAGATTGTCCCGTCCCTTGGTGTATACCACCTTTCTCCCAGTTATTTAATCAAACATGAATCTAGGTGCAGCTGTGATGAGATTTTGTCACTGTAACCAAAGTCCCAAATCAGTTGACCTCAAGAAAGGGAGATCACTGTCGGTGGGCCTCACCTAATCAAGTGAACTCTTAAGAGCCAGGACTATTCTTAGCAAGAGAGATTGAATTGTGAAAAAACATTCCCCATTTCTGCCGTTGAAGATGGAGGAGGTCACAGGCAAGGAACGCAGGTGGCCATCGGCTGATGGCCAACCAGGAAATGGGACCCCAGTCCTACAACTATAAGGAACTGAATTGTGCCAACAACACAAATGAGCTTTGGAAGTGGATTCTTTTTCAGTCATGCCTTCTAACAAGACCAGTATCTGGTCAACACCTCAATTTCAGCCTTGCAAAATTCTGAATAGAGAACCCAGACATGTTGCACCCAACCTTTTGACCTCAGAACAGTGAGTTCATAAGCAGGTGTTGTTTTAAGCTGCTAAATGTGTGATAATTTGTTAGGCAGCAATAAGAAACAAATGCAGATGCTAATAGGTAACATCCCCCCACCTTCATCCTGAAAGGCAAGTCTTCCTTTCACATATATATGCCTCATATACTCCACCCTTTCCCTTGCCCCTGCTGCCATTCTTAACTTTGCTAGAGAAGGTTCCAGAAACATAACAGCACCCTCTCCCCGCTATAAAAGAAGGCAGACACAGGTGCCTTGAGCGGAAAAAGGCACCCTGTTCTGTGACAGGCTGCTTCGTGCCTTCATTCCCCGCCCTGCCCCTGAGCATGGCTGTCATGTGCTTTTTGCAAACAATGCATTATTTCTATGTGCCCCATCATCTAGAACATAACCTCTCACCCTCACTCCAAAGTTGTTCTGTACTCCATGCCCTGAAATATTGCAGATGGTGCCAACTGCTTTGTGCCTTCCACAACCCTTGGGCTGTCTGCTTTGTTTTATTGGCTGTAATCGATGGCCTGGCCTTGCTACACCACAAAATCAAGACAGGCCCTATTCTTCAAATTCCTCCACGCATACGCCCGATGGAGAGGGAGAGTCATTTATGATCTCTCCTGCTAGACTCTCTGTAAATTACCAGGCTTTTGAGTTTATAGGTTAAATACTCAGCAGGAATATTCAGCTTAAGGCTGAGGAATTTCCCTGTGGGGGTGATGACTGGGAAAGTGAGGGCAGTGCCTTTTTTTTTTTTTTTGCCTAGGCAGTTAACTTTGAACGTAATACATCATCACGAATCATTGGAGGCGGCTCTCCCATGGTACTCATTGGCTTATTAAAATGAACACAACTGTTCTGGCTGATCTAAATTATAGAATGATGACAAAAATAACAATAATAAACCTTATAGCCATTTAATCCTTTTTTTCTATAATAGTTTGGCTTGCCCTCTCACCTGAGTCTGTGGGGTAGGAATAAGAACTTGTAATTAAAAGTTACAAATAAAGAATCTCATTCTCTCTGTTCACATGGCTGTCACCTGAGACACTCTGCCCTGGTACCTGAGGGCAGGAAAGGATGAGAGGTCACCCCTGTCCACCCCAGCTCAGCAACTGGCCTCTTTTACCTTCATTTGAGAGGCAACATAGCCTCATGGGTGATTCCGAAAGTTTACTGCCCATTGGAATCGGCTGGGAATCTTTAAACAATACTGATGCCCACTCCCACCCTGGCCATTCCAATTTAATTGACCCTGGGTAGAACCTGGGTATGGAGAGGTTTCAGAGCTCTCCAAGTGATTCCACCTTGCAGGCAAGTCTGGGAAACCACTGGCTTAGTGGCTAAGACAAGCTACATATCAAGACTATCATGTACACATGGACAACCTTGAGCAAGTCACTTGTTCTTTCTATACCTCAGTTTCCTCATCTGTTAAATGGAGTTAGTAATGGCACCCACCTCATAGGTATTATTAAATGAAATAATGATGCCAATTGTTTACCTCAGTGCCTAGGACATTGTAAGAATTATGTGTTAATTATTGATATTGTAATTATTGTCATTATTATTATTCTCGTAGCCTCTTTAGAGGTCATGGAGCCAAAGAATCTTATGTTGACAAGGACAAGAGGGGCCATCTACATTCAGGAGTTCCTTTTCAAAAGTCCCCAGCAGGTGACTGTCCAGTTCTGGCTCACCAGCACTTTCCTTGCCAAGTTGATATTTAGGTGATCTGAAGGCACAGTTTGGAAGAATTTGGGGTTCAAACTAGACAAAGTGGGTATCCTCAGGAAAGCTTCATTCATTAAGCACTTATTGAACATGTACTCTATGCCAAATACTGTGCTGGGAATACTAAGTAGAAAGGCATAAACTCAGGCCAAGCACAGTGGCTCACGCCTGTAACCCCAATACTTTGGGAGGCCAAGGCAGGCAGATCACCTGACATCAGGAATTTGAGACCAGTCTGGCCAACACAGCGAAACCTGTCTCTACTAAAAATACAAAAATTAGCCGAGCGTGGTGATGCACACCTCTAATCCCAGCTACTCGGGAGGCTGAACCAGAAGAATTGCTTGAACCCAGGAGGCAGAGGTTGCAGTGAGCCATGATCATGCCATTGCACTCTAGCCTGAGTCACAGAGTGAGACTCCATCTCAAAAAAAAAAAAAAGGCATAAACTCACAATTCATGGAGTACACATTGCCTGCTCTCAGTCACTGTACAGGCAGTTAATGCTGAGAAGCCTCATCAATCAATTTGTAAAATGATTCTCCTGCTGGGGTCTTTGGGATACTTGGAATCCCTCAGGGCAGTGGTGGCCCCACTCATTAGTCATCCAGGCCCCCACCTCCCTAGGCACCACCGCCTTTGGCTCAGTTTCTTCCCATTGCTTTCCCTGCCATGTTCCTTGCCTTTCTTTGTCCTCAGATCAACTGTGCCATTCAAATATTTCAACATTACTTCTCTGCCTACTGTGGGATACAATTTCCATACAACTTGTTAACCATGGCCACATCTTAGTCCATTTTGTGCTGCTATAACAAAATACCACAGACTAGGTAATTGTCTAGTTACCTAGACAAAAAAGAACAGAAATTCACTTCCCATAATTCTGGAAGATGAAAAGTCCAAGATACAGGTGCTAGCAGGTTTGGTTGTCTGGTGAGAGCTGCCTCCTCTGGAGAGGACAAATGCTGTGTCCTCTTGTGGCAGAAGTCAGACGAGCAAGAGACTGAATGCTGTGTAAAGCCTCTTTTATAAGGACCTTAATCCCATTTGCAAGGGAAGAGTCCTCATGGCCTAATCACCTCTTAAAGTCTCCACCTCTTAATACATTGGCAACATCTGAATTTTGGAGGGACCATATTCAAACCATAACACCACATAATACATACCTGCTCTTTCAAAATAACTTTTACAAATGCCTATCTAGGGCCTTACACCCTTATAAATCAATAATCAACATTAGAGGGCAGTTTACTGTCATTCTAGCATCGTATTTTTCTGTTCCCCTTTCCAGAAAAACTCCCAAAGCAGTTGTCTATACTTGTGTCTCCACTTACTTCCTCATATTCTCTTCTAAAACAAATATAATCAACTTCCATTCCTACCACACCACTGAAATCACACTCATCAATGCTACTAGTGGGCCCCTGCAATACTGGGGGGCCTTACAATGCATCCTGACACTGACCACCCAGAGTTAGCCCAGATGCCCCACAAGTTAAGGGCTCAGTCCTTCATAAGACTGCCCTCCCTTCTAACACTAGGCACAAGTTTGGGGGTCTCCAGGCCATCTGCCCTTCTGACAAACTGGCTACAAATTCAGAGATTCCCATGACCCTCAGGTTGGATAATTCACTAGAACAACTCACAGATTTCCACCAAGTGCTATATTTATAGCTATGGTTTTATTATCAACGATATAAATCAGGGCTAGTCAAATGAAGAGACACATAGGGTAAGATATGGGAGGATCCTGAACACAAGCTTTCATCCCCAAGGAATCAGGGTGCCCCACTCTCCCAGCACATAGATGTGTTCACCAACCAGGAAGCTCCAACACACTTCAGTGGCCAGAGTTTTTATTGAGGTTTCATTACAGAGGCATGATTGATTGAATCATTGGCTACGTGATTGAAATCAATCTCAACTCAAGCCCCTCTTCACACTCCAAGTGTCTGGAGATCAGCTTGATACCATGTGGCTCAAAGACCAAACCCACTAATCACATGGTTTTCCTGGCATGACCAGCCCCATCCTCTTTTTTTTCTTTTTGAGACAGAGTTTCACTCTGTCACCCAGGCTGGAGTGCAGTGGTGCAATCTCGGGTCACTACAACCTCACCTCCCAGGCTGAAGCAATTATACAGCCTCAGCCTTCTGAGTAGCTGGGATTATACGCATGTGCCAAGACACACAGCTAATTTTTATATTTTTAGTACAGACAGGGTTTTGCCACATTTGCCAGGCTGGTCTCCAACTCCTGAGCTCAAAGTGATCCACTGGTCTCAAACTCCTGAGCTCAAAGCAATCCACCTGTCTCAGCCTCCCAAAGTGCTGGAATTATAGGCATGAGCCACCGTGCTGGCCCTCCTCCTCCTCTTGTCATCTGGAGTCATTTCATTAGCAAAAACTATCAGGGCCCACCATGAATAGCAAAGACACTCCTATTGCTTGGGAAATTCCCAAAATTTAGAATCTCCCTCCAAGGAACAGAGATAATGACCAGATAAATTCTTCATTATGCAACAACTCCCTCTTGCAGATCCAATGACCATAGTTGTACTTCCCAGCAGCATTCAACACGGTGAATTGCTTTCCGTTTCTTGAAAGTTTCCTCACTGAGCTCTCAGCTGTCCTCCTACCCCACTGGGTATGTCTTCCCTTTTGCTGGATTCTTCTCTAAGCATCCTTCTGGCCTTTAAGTCTCAGAGTGCCCAGGCCTCTTCTTTGTATGTTCTTTCACCCAGTCCCATGCCTTTAATTAACAAAAGTACACTGATGACCCCAAATCTTTATTATCAATCCAATCATTCCCCTGAGCACCAGGCTTATCTAGCCAACTCCTTACTCCACCTGGACATATGAAGGGCCTCAAACGTAACACATCTATTAGCAGAAAATGTGTCTCGTCCATTCCTGGTGTCCTCTTCTTATGAAAGGAGTTCAATTCATGGAACTCTAGGCCTCACTCTGCCCTTGACTCACTCCACTGCCTCGGGGGTTCTGATGAGTAAAGTCTGGGCATGCTCACTTGGGAGCAGAGAACACTTGTTCTCTTCTGTGCTCTGAGATTCACTGAGGAGCTCAACCTGGACAGCATTGCCTGGGGCCGAGAGGTAAGTTTGCTTAATTCTGGAGTTTGGTTAGGGGGTGATTTGATCCCACTCTAAGCCGCTACCCCCAGTTGTCCTCTATCAGTAGTAAAAGTAATATTTCAGTGTCTATCTCTAGTCTTTCTTTTATTTCTCAGGCAGAGAAGAGGGGTGGCACTTATGAGGGATCCCTTTAAGGTCCCCCACCAATGCCCAGAGCTCTTGATTTCCATCGCTGAACATGAATCTATCTAAGTAAATGACAATTCATTCCTTCCAGTTGCTCAGATTCTTTACTGACTGTTCTTTCTCTAAATATATCCTGAAATCTGGCTACTTTCCACCACCCCCACATCTATCAGGCTATTTCAAGCTACATCCTCTCTCATCTGCCCTACTGGTGTGGCCTCCTGACTGGTCTCTCGACTCCCACTGTCCTCTGCTTATGGTTCGGTTTTTTACACAGCAGCCAGAGTTATTGATCTTACAGAAATGAAGTTCAGACCATGTCATTCCCCCGCGGCTTCCCATCATACTTAGAACCCTGGGCTTTCACACATGACCTGGCCCTGACTCTCCATCCTCATTTCCCGCCACTCTGCCCTGTGCTCTCCCTCTCCAGGCACAGTGCAGGCTCCTGCTGGAGGACTCTGAGCTCCCTCTGCCTGGAGCATTCCTGCCCAGACATCGTGTCTCATTCCCTTGCACCCCTCAAGTCTCTGCCCAATTGCCACATCTCAGTGTGTTGAGATTCCTTTCTAAAGAGCTGACACCATCCTTAGTACCCCATGACCTCTGATTCTTTTCACTACTTATTTGTTCCATATTTACTGATTTTTATTTATGTTTCTCTCTATCAATAGTGGGGGTATATTAGTCTTCTGGGGCTCCCATGACAAAATACCATAGGCTGAGTGGCTTCAACAAGAGACATTTATTTTCTCACAGTTCTGGAAACTGGAGGTCCATGATCAAGGTGCTATGAGGGTTGGTTTCCAGTGAGGGTTCTCTTCCTGGTTTGTAGAGAGTTGACTTCTTGCTTTGTCTTCACATGGCCTTTCCTGTCTGCACATGTAGAGAGAGAGAGGAAGGTCTCTGGTGTCTCTTCCTCCTTTTTTTTTTTTTTTTTTTTTTTTGACGGAGTCTCGCTCTGTCACCAGGCTGGAGTGCAATGGCGTGATCTCAGCTCACTGCAACCTCTGCCTCCCAGGTTCAGGCGATTCTCCTCAGCCTCCCAAGTAGCTGGGACTACAGGTGCCTGCAACCACACCCAGCTTTTTTTTTTTTTTTTTTTTTTTTTGTAGAGACGGGGCTTCACCATGTTGGCCAGGATGTTCTCGATCTCTTGACCTCATGATCCGCCCGCCTCAGTCTCCTAAAGTGCTGGGATTACAGGCATGAGCCCCCACGCCAGGCTGTCTCTTCCTCTTTTTATAAAAATACTACTTCATCGAATTAGGACCTCACCCTTATGACCTCCTCCCAAAGGCCTCGATAATGGGAAGTAAGCTCCTTGATGGCAAAGACTGTCTTCTTTGTTTACTCTAATAACTCAATACTTTGTTCTAGTGCTTGGCACATGGTAGGCATGCAGAATTGTTGTTGGGAAAAAAATATCAAAAGCATCAGCTTTGAAATCACATCATTGTGGATTCTAGCCCTAACTCAGCAACTTACTAGCTGTGTGACCTCAAACAACTAAATCTCTCTTAGCCTGAGCCATCGGATAAGGCTTCTAATCTGTTAAATGGGGGTAGCAATAATGTTGTTGTGGAGATTAAATGAGAAGCTGTATGTAAAGGTCTTAGCATGGTTCATGACACAAAGTAAGAACCTAATATGGGATAGCTGCTAATAATATTATCAATATAGACTTATACCCATCTCACATGGGTAAAAGGGTCACCTGGACTTTATAGGAGTTGCCCACCCAATATCCATTATTCATCATCTCCATCTTCCTTATTACCAAAACTCCTATGTTCTTGACTGCAACAATGTTCTTGGTTAACAGCACTACATTTCCCAGCCTCCCTTGCAGGCAGTGATGGCTGTGGCATGTAGCTCCGGCAGATGTTACAAAAACAGCAGTGCGTAGATGTCGGGTTGCCAGATTAGCAAATAAAAATACAAGACCCACAGCTAAATTTGAATTTGAGATGAACAATAAACAACTTTTTATTATAAGTATGTCCCAAATATTGCATGAGACATACTTATAAGAAATTATTTGTGATACATCTGCAATTTCAATTTAACGGGGCATCCTAGATTTTATCTAGGAACACTTCTTGGATGGGACATTTGAGAAATTTCCTTAGAAGATGTATCAAGGTTCTTCACAGAAACAGAACCAATAAGGTGTGTGTTATAATATATAATTATTGCCTTGTGTGTTTGCACTTCACTACTCTGTGAAGTGTTCTTTACGCAGAGGCTGTGCTGGATAGGTCAGCACGATATTTTTCACCTAAATGTTCAAAGCAGTAACCAGACACTGAACTATATCAGTAGTCAACCCACCAGACAAGTCCCACTCATTCTAACTGTACCTCTTTTCTGCTCCTTCCAAATATTCCTACAACCACAGAGCACTGTCAGCTACTGCCATGGGCAGAACTGAGGGCCACCCAGGGCCCAGACATAAAAGAAATCCAAAGCAACTTGTACATAAGCAGTACGCTAGCAAACCAAACTGGTGACTTCCATTTCTGTGACATAGCCACATTGTTTTAGAATTCACAAAAAATGCATAGAAGAAGTAAACACTAGAAGAGTAAAGGCTGTGAATTTGCCCAGCTGTCCAGAGACCCTCCTATAGACAAAGCTAAGCTACTTAAGTGCTTGTTCATGGCTATAATTTGACACTTCTGCTTCTCTGGCCAAGGGACTGAATCAAAACTAAAATTATGCTTTGACCTTGACTCTGAGGTGTACATGGCTATTTCAGTGCCTTGGTCCCTGAGCTCATCTAGATGGTAAGATTTTTGAGAGTGAGGAGCTTGTCCTCACCATCTTTTAATCTCTTGTATTCCCTACTGCTGAGCTTCATTTATAATCAGAGCTCAATAAACATGGATTGGTTCATTGGCACAAGTTACTGAAAAGTCATTGGGCTTCTGTGAGTTTGGCATGTGATTGAATGGAGGTAATAGTTTATTAATATACAGTTAGCTTGTAGGTTATGAAAGGAATGTCTAAAACATACAAAGAACTTTCTAGAAATCTTTTTTCCATTTATAGCACTAGAAGGGAGAAAAAAGTCATAGATAATTTTAAATAATAATAGGAAAAAAGGTGTCTTGCTGTTGCTAGTAGAGCTATTTTGACTGATCCCGATATCAGCCCCTGCCTCATGCCTGGGGAGATGCTCTAGCTACAATAGACTCATGCACAGACACCTGTGAGCTCTGCAGCTGGGAAAACAGCCTTGAAGCCTGACCATGCTGCAGGGCAAACCGTCAGACAGTTTGTATGCTGGGAGTGATAAATTCCTATGAGCTGTGTCACGAGTTATCTACAGAGGCAGTTGTGAATGGCTCTCCTTACAAAGTTGGGTTCCTTCCATCCCAAAGGCTGTGGTCTTCTCTATATAGTGTATCAGTTCCATGGCTCTCTGAGTGTCTGCTACATTCTTCTCTTTCTCTGCAGTCCGACTTTCTCCGCAATCAGACTTTCTCCAGATGGCAAAAAGTATATCTACCACACTTGCCCACTAATAGCCAGTGTTATGGGCTGAACTGTGTCCCCAAATATTCATATGGTGGAAGTCCTAGCCCCCAGTACCTCAGAATGTGACTGCATTTGGAGATAAGGCCTTTAAAGAGCCCACTCAGTTGAAATGAGGCTGTTAGGGTGATCCTAATCCAGTATGACTAGTGTCCTCATAAGAGGAGGAAGAGACACCAGGGATGTATGTGCACAGAGGACAGTCCACATAAGGATACAGGGAGAAGGCAGTAATCTGTACACAAAAGAGAAAGACCTCAGAAGCAAGCAACCCAGCTGACACCTTGATCTTTGACTTAGGGCCTCTGGAACTGTGAGGAAATCAATTTCTGTTGTTTAAGCTTCCCAGTCTTTGGTATTTTCTTACAGCAGCCATTGCAGACTAATACAGTTCCCCACAGCACCCCAACTTTACCTCTTACAGCCTCTGCACCAACAGAGAGTGACTCTCTCAGTTCTAGTTCTTTAGGTACCCCGAGAGAACTGGCCTGACTCAGTCTGGTCCATCTTTGGATGTAGCAGAGGACCCATGACTGCACCCACAGAGCAAGGGTGCTAGCCCTTCACACCGTCCTCCCCTCCATGTGTTCCTGCTGATGCAGTCAGAATTTGATCAGAAAGGCAGAACCACTAGGATAGCCTTACATGCACACATCCACATGAATTTATCATAGGGATTTCATCTTATGCAATTGTAGGCACTAGTTTCTACAAGGCTGTTTCTCCGTGTCCAGTGCTGGAAGTTGAAATTTGCAAGTCAGGTAGCATAGAAGGAAAGATGAATGCAAAGGGGATTCTGTGGACTGAATTTTGTGCACTCTCTGAAATTCATATGTTGAAGCCTAATCCTCCATATGATGGTATTTGAAAGTGGGGCATTTGGGAGATGATTAGGTCATAAGCCTGAAGCCCTCATGGATGGGATTAGTGCCCTTGTAAAAAGAGACACAGAGAGATGATCCTGGAAGGAAAAGCAAGAAAGCAGGCATCTGTAAACCAGGAAGAGGGCCCTCACTGAGAACTTGACCATGCTGGCATCCTGATCTCAGACTTCCAGCCTCCAGAACAGTGAGAAATAAATGTGTGTGGTTTAAGCCACCCACTCCATATTCTGTTACAGTAGCCCAAGCTGATTAAGACAGTGGGGACAGTAAGGACAAGCCAGAACCTGCAGGATGGACTAAACCCATGTCATTCCCTCACTGCCTCCAACCTCCAGGGTGGGGCGTCCTGCAGGATCCAGAGCCAGGCCTCTTTTTTATGGAGCTTAACACCCATCTGGCCCAGGATTTGCAAAAGCTGAGAGAGGATCCAGGAGAAGTGTAGTAGCTGCAGGCCTGCTGCCGTCTCTCACCAGCAACATGAGCCGGCAGACAAATGACAACACATGCACGGCTGCCACAGTGCCGAGCTACCGAATGCACAGACAATATGATGCTGTCCTGTCCTGTGCAAGATGTCTCTTGTGGCCCACCCTAACTGGAATTATGCAGAAAAGGGAATTCTGGGAAGCACAGTTCAGCCTTGCCATGGTGACATGTAACAATGTGGCAGGCCAGGTCTCACTAACACAGGCCTCCATAACAACTGTTTCAGTACTGACTGAGTGGTTAGTTAAATATTAAAAGCTAAGAAAAGCCAGTGCCCTTATACAAAGGCTGGAATGTAACAAAAGCCCAAGAGTTTTGCGTAGGCATTTCCTGAAACTCGGGCATGACAAAATAATGAAGGAACTCTTAACAGGACACATTTATGATTAAACAAGTTTCATTGTGGGTCTGAAGAAACTCCTCTGGCCTCCACAAACCAGTTTACTGGGGGGTCTGAACCTTCATGATTTAGCAGGAAAGAAGATAAAGAGTAATCACCCCAGCACCTGGACCCATTTAAATTAAGTAAATTTACTGAGGCTCCAGAGGAAGGTCTTCAGGACTCAGACCTTTGTTATAGGTCTGTTATATATTAAAAGAAGTTAATCACTTCGGTCTTTAGATAAATGCACACTTACACACAGACATATAGCTTAGAAGGTATATAAGCTCTGGAAAACTGTGTAATTTGGAGTTGGTCTGGTGATAATTTCCAGGCCTTCTCCCTATAGCTGGTTACAGAAAGAAAAACTCTCTTCCTCCCCAGTCCATCTGCATCTCATTATTGGGCCACGAGAAATAGCAGCCTGACCCTCAGTTTGGTCCAGGAACAAGGCACCATACCTGCCAAGCATTGCTTCTCCCTGCAGAATTGCGTGGTTCTTCACCAGAGGCCTCTCTCTCCTGCTCTTCTCCTTTTCTCACATTCGGCTTCCCACCTGGTTCCCTCCTCACTTCCTTCCCATTTTCTCCATTATCCGTGAAGGCCAAAGTGCCAAATGATTGGGCATGTTTCAGAAATTGTTAGGATTAAGAAGGGCCCAGAAGGGCACTGCAGACCCCCAGCAGGGCTGTGTGGATCACTGCCCTTCAGTAGGTGGGGAACCTGGGGTACAGACCCCCCGGCCCAGAGCTACTGGCACCCCCTGCACCAGTCTGAAACAGGCACCAGTCTGAAACTGGTCTTTTATTCTACCCTTTGGATCCCAAAAAGTGAGAATGAGGCAGATTAAAATGATAATTTTACTTTCTCACATTTGGAAACGCATCTAGCTAGTACTGAGCGATATTCTTGAAACAGGATTTTTTTTCCTCCTTCCCAGAAGGGCAAGAGTATCTTATTATCAAAAATGGAACTTTAACAGATTCAGAGAAAGTGCTGTACCATCCCTCAGAAGAGTCTAAATCCAGATTCTTTACACATATTCCATGGATATAAATCTTGCTTTTCATGACCCCTCGTTGATCATAATCAAATGATAGAAGAGACAGATTTTCAAGAGGAGGATTGGTCCTCAAGGAGAAATACCTGTTTCCATGGTGACAGCCTATTAAGTTACATTTGGAACAGGGAACTGGAAAAAGTAGTTGACTAGAGATTTTGAATTTTAAATCCATATAATCAGTTAGAGGGTTGGGAGAGATTTGAAGGCCTCCAGAATGACTTCAAATGTTGGGACTCAGAGTCATGAGACATTTCCTAAGTGCCATTCCTAGCTCAGGCAGGTTGCTTTTTATCTAGGCCTACTAGGAAGAATCCAGGAGATAGACATGAGTTTAGAGAACTTCATGGCTCCTGCACTGGGGAAGCAGGACTTTCTTTGCCCAAGTGCCTCAAACTTCTCTAAAGCATGTCTTAGAAATTTGTTATTCAACGTGTGGATTTTCCTCTCTTAGGGTCGATTAAATTCTCATTAGAACGATGGTTCACAATCTTGCTGTAAATTAGAAAAACCTGGAGAGGAGAACCGCTTCAACAATACCAATGCCAGAATGCTACCCCCCAGAGATTTTGATTCACTTTGGACTGGGGCCCAGGTGATGGTATTTTTTTTAAAAAAAAAAGCTCCCCAGATGATTTTAATGTGCATCCATGGCTGAGACCCAGACATGGTTAAGTAACTCCCACACATTGTCTTGATAGAAGGTGGGTCTTTACCACTTATACATCTATTTATTGTTTATTATGAGACCTTCATTAAATTATCTTCTTAACCTGTCAGCAACCCTCTGGGGTAGATGTTCTTATGGTCTCCATTTTATAAATAAAAACTGAAGTATACAAAGGTTACACATTTGCTCAAGTTCAATGCTCTAGTTAAAAAGTATAGAGCTGAATTCAAACTCCAACCTGAATGACCCAAGGCCCATTCTTTTAACTACCATTTTAGTGCCCTCTGCATTACTGGGTAGCCCACTGCCACTGAGAAAATGCTCAGCTAATTCTCATCCCCTTTCAGAAAGAGGCAGAGGCAAGGAGAGAAGATAAATACATATTGTTGGGTGGACCCTAAAGTTCTGCTAAAGAGTTCACAGAGACTTAGTGCTGGTGGAGACCTTCAAGGGCACCTGGATCAACCACTTCATTTAATAGATGAGGAAACTGAAGCCCAGAAAAGCTAAGTAACCTTCCATTGTTAACAACCAGGTTGACGTCAGGGCCCCATCTTCTAATTCCAAGCAAAACTTTCCCCTGCACTCCTTAGGCTCCCATTATCATCTAGTGGAGGAGAGGAGACAAGTGGATCAGCAAACAGCATTCACAGCTGGCACATATGAGTGCTGTAGGTAGGGAGCACAGGACGGGAGGGGCTTACTTGTGGCTGCTACCATGAGTAAAATGTCATGGAGGAGGTGGCATATAATTTGAGCTGAAATTAGGCTCTCAATTTGCTGAGCTGAAATAATATTCCATGAGGATGAAAAAGTATCAGCAAAAGCCATGTATTAGTCTGTTCTTATGCTGCTAATAAAGACATTCCCATGACTGGGTAATTTATAAAGAAAAGAGGTTTAATTGACTCAGTTCCACATGGCTGGGAAGGCTTCACAATCATGGTGGAAAGCAAGGAGGAGGAAAGTCACATCTTACATGGCACCAGGCAAGAGAAAACGTGTGCAGGGGAACTCCTCTTTATAAAACCATCAGATCTCTTGAGACTTCTTCACTATGGTGAGAACAGCACAGGAAAGACTCTCCCCCATGATTCAATTACCTCCCACTGGGTCCCTTTCATGACATGCGGGAATTATGGGAGCTACAATTCAAGATGAGATTTGGGTGGGGACACAGCTAAACCATATCAGGCCAGAAGTGTTGAGAATTTTTTCTGGAAACAGGCTAGCATGAATTGTCTTGAGCAGAGGGGGTATGTAAGGAGAAGAAATGGGAGACAAGGCAAGGAAGCCAGAGCCCCAACTGAGGGGCTGTACTTGAGCCCAGCCATGGCTGTTGTGGTGGGTGAGGAATGACTGCACTTCAGAAACAACATGGCACAGTGGCACAGGCCCCTGTGGACAGTGACGGGGGCTGGGGACAAGTCATCGAATCTATCCCTTCTCAAGGTGATGAAGGCCTGAACGTCTGTCAGCCGAGGTCATGGGAAGAGGAGAGAATCGGGAGGGCATGTGGGAGGGAAGAACAAACAGCTCAACGGGGAAGAGGATGAAAATGAGGGAAAGTATGATCTCCATTTTGTAATAAAAACTGAAGCATACAAAAATTACACATTTGCTCAAGTTCAATCCTCTAGCTAAAAAGCATAGAGCTGGAGAGGTGTGGGAGACAAAAACCAAACTTTAATGGGTGATGGAATTCTGCCCACACCAGACCCCACCCCATACAACAGAACCAAGAAAGAAAAAAGGTGTGATGGCAAAACTCTCTGGGGCTTTCACTGGCAAATCTGTCTTCTCAGGTGAGAGCTCAATGGGAGAGGAAAGCCCTGCAGGAATGCGAAATGGAACAGGTGCTAGGGTGGGGCAGGAGGAGAGGGTGGGAGTTGGGAAGGAAAGGCAGCTGAGGAAGAAAGAACTGGAGGTGGGGTGGGATAGAAGAGTCTCAAAAGATCATCTCCGTTTCCTGCCTCTTGGCCCGGTTGGACAGATGACTAAAGTAATCTCGGTAAAACATCACCCTAAAGTAATGCTTAAGGATATAAAGTGAGGTTATCATGATTTATGAATACAATGTAGAATAATTAAATCAAGCCAATTAGCAAACTATCACCTCAAACACATCACTTTTTGTGGTGAGAACATTTGAAATTTGTTCTCTTAGCAATTTTGACATGTACAATACTCTATTATTAACTATATTCACCATATTGTTCAACAGAACTAAAAAAAAAAAAAAACAAAACCCATATTCCTCCTGTTTAACTAAGACTTTGTATCTTTTAACCATCATCTCCCCATTTTCCCCTCCACCCCCAGCCTCTAGAAACTGCCATCCTACTCTCTGCTTCTATGAGTTTGGTTGTTTTAGATCCCACATAAAGTAAGAACATGCAGTATTTATCTTTCTGTGCCTGCCTCATTTCATTTAGCATAATGTTCTCTAACTCCATCCTTGTGTCACACGACAGAATTTCCTTCTTTTCAAAGGCTGCGTAGTATTCCACTGTGTTCATACACCCAGTTTCTTTATCCATTCATCTGTTGATGGACATAAGTTGATTCTGAATATCTCCATCCCACAGCTGAAGAGCCAACAATCTTATTCTTACACCTTAAAACCCAAACCCAACCTAACCCAGCCACGTCATAGAAGCCACCGCCAACTTCAATGTGCAGCTGAGTGTTCTCCCTCTGGCCAGCTGAAGAGGGAGACTGTGCTTTTTCTAGGGGAAGGCAGATGTCCCCAATCCCCGATGTCTCTGTCAGGAAACTGTTTTTTCTTTGCTCTATGTGTTACCCCATAAACACAGTGCTAAACATAATTGCCCAGTTCTTTCACCTTCTTTGCTCAGGACTTCAGGTAACTGTTAAATGATATTTTTAAGGATGTGAGGGAAGGGAGGTGAACTAACCACAGTTTAGACACATTGTCATTTTCCAAGTTCCAAATGAACTTTTGAAACAGAGTCCATTTGCACACCAGAGACCCTGTTAAGGTTTCCTGCATTAGCTACTGAATGAAATAGGAACTCAAGTGAACTGGTTAAAGATTGGTCCCTCTACCCATGAACACAGACCGGTGGGTTTACATAAAGTGCCTGTGGTCAGGGGAAGAAAGAAGAGAAGGACCCTCGATAGCTGCTTCCCCCTCTAAGTACAGGAAGATGATACACGTAGTTCCAACTGATTTTCACCTGAATAACTAAGAGATTGTTATGGGCTTCATGACTCAAGAACTGCATCTTCAAGATGATCAAGAATTTAAAAATGGCACTTCATTTGGCTACTACAGTAAAGCGCTATTTTAATAATCACTGGAATTCCTCTCCTCCAAAGAGCTCAAAGTACTCCATGTTTGCATTTAACTTATCCTCACAAGATTTCAGAAAAGTGCTTTCAGATATCATTTCATCACACATTTGGGGAAACTGAGACATGAAGATGATAAATGAGTGCTGTGCCATGTTTTGACCACTCACAAGGCGACTTACCTATTCACGCCATCACAGAAGGCACCTAAGATTTAAAATTGCTTTTCAAAGTTAGTCTGTAGCTGAGAAAGGAACAGGATGCAGGCCTCATTTTCTGGGTTCTGGGTTCCACTTTGTAAATCAGTAGTTCCCAAATTGGCAGTGGTTAAGTTGGCTTGTTTAAAGTTCACCTTTCCATCCCCTCTCAGACTCCCTGAATTAGAATCTCCAGGGAGTGAGGCCAGAGTGGTGTCGAGCTGCATGTCCCCCTCTGATGCGCAGGCATATTTGGGACACCACTCCCCGCCCCCAGCTGTGGGCCACCTGGGAACTTGCTTGGCTACCTCTAGATATACTGATTCCTGTACCTTCCAGTGGTTCTGTTTGCTGTCTGGATACATTTGGTCTTTGGTATGTGTATTAGGCCGTTCTTGCATTACTATAAACAAATACCTGAGACTGGGTAACTTATAAGAAAAGAGGTTTAATTGGCTTATGATTCTGCAGGCTATACAAGCATGGCACCAACATCACTTGGCTCCTGGGGAGGCCTCTTCTGGGGAAGCTTACAGTCATGGCAGAAGGCAAAGCGAGAGCAGACACTTCACATAGCGAAAGCAGAAGCCAGAGAGTGAAGGGGGAGGTGCTAGATACTTTTAAACAACCAGATATCAAGAGAACTCACTCACTAACTCAAGGACAATACCAAGAGCAATGGCGCTAAATCATTCATGAGAAATCTGGCCCCATGATCCAATCACCTCCCATCAGGCCCCACCTCCAACATTGGGGATTACATTTCAATATGAGATTTGGGTGGGGACACAGATCCAAACTATGTCAGTATCCACATCTGAGCCTGTATTGCCTCCTGGCACTGGCACATGAAGCTGTGCTAAATAACTGTCCCACTGTGGGCTTCCCTAGTCTCAAAATTCAGCAGGTAATTCCTGTGCACACAGGGCCTCCCCAGGCAAACTGAGGAAGTCCATTCTCTGTGCCCTGTCCCCAGTTAGTAGGCTGGATGGAGCATGGAGGTCAGGCAGCCATATGAACTTGCACAAGCCCTTACCCTTTCCCTGGGCCTGAGCCCCCTTTTCCTCATCTGTGCAAGGGACCCAGTGTAGGGGGATGGTGATGTACAAGGAAGGTTACCAAAAGAATCAAATTAAATGGTATGTGTTAAGTGCCTGGCATGGTATTCAACAAATGCCATTGCTCTTTTCTTATCCCTGGAAGGTGCCCATTTCTCCCTGGAAGGTTCCTAATTCATTCATTTCATGAATTCTGGGAATCTCTATCTCCCTTCAGTTAGAACAAGGGTGGGCAAATCTTTCTGTGTATATTCATGAGAAATCTGGCCCCATGATCCAATCACCTCCCACCAGGCCCCACCTCCAACATTGGGGATTACATTTCAATATGAGATTTGGGTGGGGACACACATCCAAACTATGTCAGTATCCACATCTGAGCTTGTGCATGTACCTTTAAGTTAGAGTTTGCCCCTTGCAATTGTAATTACCCGATTTTTCCAGGTTGGCTGAACAGAACCAATAACTGTAGTTCCTGGTTAAACAAACAGTTCTCTGTGGCCACTCGCCTGCTTCTTAACCAACAGACTTACTCAGGTGGGAAGCAGCTTTATTGCACCTCAACCCTGCAATTGGGAGCATCAGTCTGGAGCATGGCTTGTGCTCATGAGAATGTATCTGTGGCATTGCTTTCCCAACCAACAATCTCGAGGCTTCTTACTGCATCCAGGTTTTGGCTCATTTGAGAGTCTTCCTGCCCCAAAATAAACTTTGCATACTCCATAGAAGTCTCTATTTGCATCTCAAACATAACCTCCAAGTTTGATAAGGTAACATGCCAACAGGAAGAAATTTGTTTTATTTGTATTGAATATAGAGTATAAGGTATATTCTCCCAATTACAGAAATTCAGAGCTCAGGAAATTGTAGGATGACAAACCATTCCATTTTCTTGGGACAGAGGGAGTTCTCTAGACCTGGGAGTATCAGTTTTAAAACTGAGAACATCCCCACTCATAGGTGGGAATTGAACAATAAGAACACTTGGACACAGGGCGGGGAACATCACACACCAGGGCCTGTCATGGGATGGGTGGCTGGGGGAGGGATAGCATTAGGAGAAATACTTAATGTAAATGACGAGTTAATGGGTGCAGCAAACCAACATGGCACATGTATACCTATGTAACAAAACCACACGTTGTGCACATGCACCCTAGAAGGTAAAGTATAATAATTAAAAAATTAAAAAAAAACTGAGAACATCCCAGGGAGATTGAGACAAGCTGACCACCCTAACAGAACAGATGGGCTGTAACAGGAGACCTTACAATCTTCTTCCAACAACACTAGCTGGTCACCTACCCAGTACCTATGGTTGAAGCTGGCCCCAGGTAAAGTGTGTTCGTTGGCACTGTCTTAGGTGCAACTACCCATCTTATGCTGGACTCTTGAGTCTAAAGAAATCCAGATTCTTTGAACACGAGAATGTTGGGGATGGGCCAACAAGCAGAGCAGCTGGGACTTCCCACCTGGGATCACAGGAATTTTCCCAGAATTATCTTTCAAGTCAGATATTATGCATGGGGCCAGTCTTGTGGTAGACACTGGGAAAATTGATAGACCTTGCCACTTTCTAGTGGTATAGCCTTGGGTAAGTCCTGAGTCTCGATATCCTCACCTCCATTTTGACAATAACATTATATTCTTCAAAGAGCAGCAGTGAGAATCCTATGGGCCACAGCATGCACTTCACAAGACACTGAATTCATACCAGTTCCTGCCCCATCTCCGTGCCCATGATGAGGTATATATTCAGGGATAATGTGTTAACATCCTCAAAATGTTTCCCCATGAGTTTAGATTCCAACTCTTAGAATTGCAGAACATCAGAGCAGAGAAAAGAAATAATGCTGTATTTTGCTTTCCTCTTCTGCAGAATGAGCATCACTAATGATCCATGAGCCTATGAGTTATAAAAATCCAGATTCTCCAACCTAGCCATTTGACAGGTAAAGAAACTGAGGGCCCAGAGTGAATGGGTGGGTGAAAAGCCTGATAGATAGCAGATCTAAAACCCAGACTTTGAACGTCCAATCTTCTCATTCAATTGTTCCTCCATTACACTGTCCCCCAGTTAGGGATTTGGCCTCTGACAGTGTAATGAGTTGGGAGAGCAAAAGTAAAAGCCTTAAGAAGATCAAGCACATTACAGTACAGGTGACCCTTGAACAACATGGGTTTGTACTGTGCAGGTCCATTTATATGTGGGTTGTGGATTTTCTCCTGCCTCTGCCACCCCTGAGACAGCAAGACCAACCCATCCTCTCCCTCCTCCTCAGCCTACTCAATGTGAAGATGGCGAGGATGAAGACCTTTATGATGGTCCACTTCCATTTAATGAATGGTAAATATATTTTCTCTTCCTTACGATTATTTTTGAGACAGGGTCTCACTCTGTTGTCCAAGGTGGAGTTCAGTGACACAATCATAGCTCACTGCAGCCTCAACCTCCCATCCCAAGTGAACCTCCCACCTCAGCCTCCCAAGTAACTGTAACTACAGGCATGTGCCACCATGCCCAGCTAATTTTCATATTTTTTGTATTTGCTATGTTGCCCAGGCTGGTCTCAAACTCCTGGGCTCAAGCAATTCACTGCCTCAGCCTTCC
Source organism: Homo sapiens (assembly GCF_000001405.40). Lineage (NCBI taxonomy): Eukaryota > Metazoa > Chordata > Mammalia > Primates > Hominidae > Homo > Homo sapiens. The sequence goes on along the minus strand of NC_000006.12, from coordinate 15,782,554 downwards.
AAAGTGTTGGGATTACAGGCGTGAGCCACCACACCTGGCCCTTTATGATTTTCTTAATAACATTTTCTTTTCTCTAGTTTACTTTATCATAGAATATACTGATGTCAAGTTAGTGGGTGCAGCGCACCAGCATGGCACATGTATACATATGTAACTAACCTGCACATTGTGCACATGTACCCTAAAACTTAAAGTATAATAATAATAAATAAAACACACACACACACAAAAAAAGAATATAGTGTATAATACCTATATAAAATATGGTTAGTCACATATGTTATTGGTTTATGTTTTGGGTAAGGCTTCTGGTCAATAGTAGGCTATTAGTTAATTTTGGGGGAGTCAAAAGTTATGCAGGTTTTTTACTGTGCACGAGGTCAGAGCCTCTAATTCCTGCATTGTTCAAGGGTCAACTGTACTGAGGCTTGATTAAAGGGTGTGAGAGCTGGTTTTGCTAGAAGGAAGTGGGAAGCATAGGTATTGGATGCCTTGGGCAGGCCTATGGAGGAGGGGCAAGAAGCACTAATTGGAAAGAAGACAGCTAACTTTACCCGACTAGTTGGCTTCAGGCTGGCCCTAATCAACAGACTATGCTTGATTGCTTGGTAAGAGTGATACAAACCTGGTTTGTTTGTTTTTTTTAATGAATACAATTCTAGCTACTAAGAAATAGGGCTTCCTGGCCTGGAAATATGGAAACAGCAGCCCCCTAATAAAGTGAGGTGTTGGTGCCAGCTGTTCCAGGCTATCAGAAGAGTATCTTTTGTATCTAGGACACAGGTAATAGCAGGCTCACCCTGTTTTATTATATCTGAAATTCTGCAGTGCTTTTGCTTACACCCCAGGGCCACCTCTATAACTTAGGCTTGTGCCTTAAGATGGCTCTCTCCTTGATAAATCATACTGGTAATGTGAAATCAGTTTTAAAGCTGGGAAAGAACTGAATGTGTAATCGAAAAGCTGTACCCAATTTGCTCAGCCCAAGAATCTGACAGTTCGAAAGGTAGAACGTGCTTCATGCCAAGAGTGGATTGTGAAATGGATTAGAAAATCAAGGCTGTTATTGCAGGTGCTACTTTGCAGCTCATGGGTACCCCTGACAGCTGCAGAATAACCCCATCATTTTGATTATGACTATGATTTCAAGTCACTTTAACTGTATTTTTTTCCCTTAAACTATAGACAAGAATCAGGATTCAGAGTTAATTTCCTTCTCCTTACTAATCTGTGAAGAAAAATGAGCCTGTTTATCAGGTTCTTGGGAAGTTGGAAATTCAGCTAGATTTAGTAATACCCTATGACAAAGACAAAGTATTTCTGAGAGTAATAGAAGCAATATATAATGTGATATTCTAAAAGTGTGTTCAATTATGCATTAGATTAAAATGGAAAATAAATTATAGGTGAAATTGTACATAACAAAAAAGATTTCCAAGCTCCATCCCTGACCCACTTATAAAGAGCGATTTTCGGTAGGTCAGAATTCTGATATGGCAAAAGAAGTTGATGATCTCTTGAAGTTTGTCGAAATGGGTTTGACAGGTAGTATTAAATAATAATACGAATAGCTAATGAAAATGCTTATGTGCCAGGGGCAAAGCTAATCACGTCCATCTTTCTCATCATTGGCACAAAAAGAAGCATTCAATTAATGTTAGGTATTGTCACAGTTGTCGCCTATAACCATTACAATCCTATGAGTTATATACACTTATTGTCCCCATTTTGCAGATGAGAAAACTGAAGTCCTAAGACAATTTGCCCAAGCTTTCACAGCTGTATGTGCTAGACCTCGGGGATCTACTCATACTAGGTGACACAGGAATCCATGCTTTAGACTATCATGCTCTAGTGCCTCTCTGCTGTCCATGTTGCCCTTGTTCAAGTTGTCTTCATCCATGTGGCAAAATCAATTATGCAACTGAAAGTAAGAATCACATAGATTACATATGCAAATTTTAGCATTATAGGTAAGAGTGTGGGCTTCGAAACCAGCTCTGCTACTTACCAGCTGGGTCACCTTCTGCAAGTTACTTAACCTCTCTGTTTTATCATCTGTAAATTTGGATAATACTACCTCCCTCATAGGGTTATTGGAAGACAAAAGTTAATGTCCAATAAGTTTTCTGTAAATGTCACAGATTATATTACTAAATGTACCTGCTATCTTAAATGTAAATAGCCTCTCTGTGACATCTTTGCCTAAACAGTTTGTTTAAAATTTTAGTTAACATCTGAAAGACATTTTTCAACTTGGAAAGACACCATCATCCTGGCTGATAGCTGTAAATTCCAGAAGACTGAGCATGCCCCATACTATGAGTGATGGCCAGAGACAGCCTTAAGAGTCTATGATACCAAGTACACTTTGCTTTTGGAATTTGCAGACACTTGTGATCATGTGTGAAGATGACTTAAATGATCAGAGTCCTTTTTACGCTGACCATGTGTGACTGTCATTTCAGCTATAGCCACAGCTACTGCTTTCAGAACGGCCAGTTCAGTCAGCTCCTAGTTAGCAAGGAGGCATCTGCCATCATTGGAGAGACATGAGACACTCCAGGCAGGCTCTCCTGCCAGGAATTATTAACCCCAGATCTGTCATCCCACTATCACAGCGTCATCTCTCTACATCTCAAAAGGCTTTCTCTCTGGAAGAATCCATTAATAGGATTTAAATATGCCTGGAGGGGTCTACATCTTATCAGAACCTACCTTGATTGGCTAATCAGTTGACATCCTCTAGAAGCATCCTGGTAAAAAGTAAAACACTTTCAGGAGCTGGATCCAGGAGGGTAAGAGAGCAGGCAATGAAGCCAACCAATGGGGCTGTGTCCTGGTGTGGATCTCCAAGCCCCCAGGGGCATTAACCTTATCTTGACTATGAAGAGACATTCAATAAAATCGAGTTAACCATTTGTGCCTTTGTCCACAAGATAAAACAGAAAAACTTCTGAGACCCATTAATGCCCATATTCTTCACATGCCCACATTAAGGATTCCAGGAGCAGTCTGAGGCTTTCCAGAAAAAATGAAAGGCCCGATAATTAAATTGTTTGTCATTAACCATTAGTGAGTCACACATTTAAATCTAATTAAAAATCAGCTACTCTGCTTAATAACCGTTGCAAAGGAGGTAACTGTTCAGCAATTCTAAGCATTTAACCTCCATCTTTAGCAGGAATACACTCTTACCAAGGGCTGAGCCATCAGGGGCTTTCTTCTTTTTATTTATTTATTTATTTATTTATTTATTTTATTTATTTTTTGAGACAGAATCTTGCTCTGTTGCCCAGGCTGGAGTGCAGTGGCACGATCTAGGCTCACTGCAAGCTCTGCCTCCCGGGTTCCCACCAGTCTCCTGCCTCAGCCTCCCGAGTAGCTGGGACTACAGGCGCCCACCACCACGCCCAGCTAATTTTTTATGTTTTTAGTAGAGACGGGGTTTCACCACGTCAGCCAGGATGGTCTCCATCTCCTGACCTCGTGATCCGCCCGCCTCGGCCTCCCAAAGTGCTGGGATTACAGGCGTGAGCTACCATGCCCGGCCGGGGCTTTCTTCTTAAACGCAGTTTCTCTCAGGCAGGTTGAATTATCATCCATCTATTAATTATGCTGTCTTCAAATTCTTGGACGCTGATGTTATTCAATTATTTTTAAAGTGAAGCAAGAAAGGATCTGAATTTCATGCATATGACCAGAGAAGAAATTCTCTCTCCAGTTCTTCACAGTTAGAATAAAAAATTTCCTTACCTAGCAAAGAGACATTCAAAATTTATATTTAAGTGTTAATCTTGAAACCAAACTGTTTTATCTTCCATGTATTTGCTTTCTTTCCTCCAAAGTATGTTTACTCATTTTGAAATTCAAAGTGTCATAATTAGTTTTCACAAAAAAACTTACTGCCTCTGGGTTTTTCTTTAAATTTATTGAGGAAGAAACTGATTACTAAATTGTCACACTGATACCTTCATATATCCTTGTTCAATCCCCCACCCTGAAAATCACATTTGGATTTTTCAAACCTGTCCTACCTGTTCAGTTTTCTAGTTATGGAGATGCAATGATGGTAATCATATATGATCGTGACAGACAAGAACACTGTTCATAATTATTTCTTTCCTCTCCTTTCCTAATATAGTGTATAGAATCCAGAAACTATTGACTTAGACCAAGGACTCAACTTTTGTCAAAGCCTTAAGAGCTCTGTCCTCTTCTCCCTATTGGGAACCCCAGCAGAGGGAGGACATAGGCATATGGCAGTAACAGCTGGCTTGGAGGTCCCAGATGCACCCAGAAATCCTCACTTGTGACAGAGGATGTATGCTTTGGAGACAATAACAGATTTGGATCAAAATCTTGGCTCTGCCCTTGGTTGGTGGGACTTAAGAACATTGTTACCTAGCTTCTTGAGCCTGTTTCCACATTTACAGGAGTATGGATTAGACGAGGTCCATCACAGATTTGTAATAAGAATCAAACAAGGCCATCTTTTTTTTTGAAAACAGGGTCTCTCTCTGATGCCCAGACTGGAGTGCAGTGGCACTCCCTGCATACCAAGATCACAGCTCACTGCAGCCTTGAGCTCCTGGCCTCAAGTGATCTTCCTGCCTCAGCCTCCCAAAGTGCTGGGAATACAGGTCTGAACCACAGCACCTGGCCACAAGGCCACATTTGCAAGTGAATGGAAAAGATATTTAACGCATGTGAATTTCCTGCCTCGTCTCTGGCAATTGGTTATGAGTGTCTAACTCCCTCTATCAACCATTCTCCTGTTCAAAATCTTAATCTAGTCTTGTCCTTGGCTGCTGTCCTCAAGGAATAATGATTTATGAAGGTTCAGGTCAGAATGCTAATTTAAAAACCTTTGTAGCTGCTAGCGAGACTGACTTAAGCTACACATACAGAATAATAAATATGGCATATAGACTGGGTTGAATGGTGCAGCTCCCAAAGACACGCCCATGCCTTAATGCCTAGAATCTATGAATGCGATCTTATGTGGGAAAAGATTCTTTTCAGATGCAATGAAGTTAGGGATCTTAAGATGAGGAGTTCACCCTGGACGATCCAGGTGAGCCCTAAGTGCACTAACAGGTGCCTTTATAAGAGCGAGGCAAAGGGAAATTACACAGACATTACAGGAGAAGGTAATGTGGCCACAGAGAAAAGACTGGAGTGTTGCTGCCCAGGTCAAGGAATGCTGACGATCACCAGAAACTGGCAGCAGCCAAAAACAACCTGCCTCAGCCTCCTGATAGCTGGGACTACAGGCATGCACCCCTGTGTCTAGCTACATTTTTTTTTTGGTAGAAACAGGGTCTCACTATGTTGCCCAGGCTGGTTCCAATCACATTTCTACATGGCTGTCCATCCTTTGTTGAACCTAAGCATAAAAATGGACAATTCCCCTGTATCTTCAGGTCTTCATTCTGAAGTCTTCTGTGTATACACATGAAACTTGTACACCTTTTCTCCAATTAACCTGCCTTCTGTGAGCTGATTTTTCAGTGAAACTTCAGAGGGCCAACCCCAATAACAAAAAAGTTCCTACCCTTGGTAGAAAAGATTTCTAACCAGAACCCTTACTAAAACAATGGCAGTTGAGATGAGGTCAAGGGTAGATAGAAGAGTTCCTTAGAACATTAAAGTCATAATAAATCATTCTGCTTTAAATCATCGAAAGTGTCCCATGAGTATTATGGAGAAATAAGAAGAGAAACCATATTACCTTCACACTTACATATCACACTTCACACTTACATATCAATTTTAATGGTGCCTCTGAGTCACAAGTATCAATACACTTGACGTTATTACCAACAAGGGACTTTCCAGCCCCACCTTGCAACCAGCCAAATCTAGAAAACAAGGATAATGAGGACATCATCCATCACCCCTCCTGCATAATATGCAGTGCCCATAACCCCCAGCATTCTACCCTTAAAGAACAAAACTAAAGTGTTGGCTCAGTTCTCTAACCTTCTTTAAAAGCTTATATATCACCATTTGGCATCTTCAGGTTTGACTCATACAGGATATTGTGTTCTTTTCATGAGCACACAATGAGCTAAGGTTCTCTCAAGGGTATAGCTATATGCTTAGGAAGGAAAGTTTATAAGATTTTCTTCTTAACTCTACTAATTGAAAATTAGCTTTCTCATAAAAAAAATTTTGGTTTTTCCCTAGGGGTGTAGTACAATTGGAAGATCAGAAAACATCAAGAACAAAATATTAGATGGAATGTAAAACTGTATTAAGAGTGGTTTGGAACTCTTGAGAAACAGTGGGTGCCTTCAGTCCTTGTGCTATTATTGATTGGAGTTTGAGGCCACCGTCTGACATCTTAGTTCAAACAGGCTAATAGGCTTTTGAATCTTCACTGGGGAAAGGTAAGTGGAATCCAGCATCTTTTTTTTTTTTTCTCTTGAGACCAAGTCTCACTTTGTAGCCCAGGCTGGAGTGCGGTGGCACGATCTCGGCTCACTGCAAACTCCACCTCCCAGGTTCCAGTGATGGAATCCCGCATCTTTGATGAGATGCTATGAATTGCTTGGCTTGTGTTGCAATTCCTTTAGTAAGCATGTGACCTTTTACTTAAGTCAATACTCTCTCTGTCTTCGTTTCTTTCCCTTATTTGATACATTCCATTGTTCTCTTCCATAAATGGCAAGGAAACATCAGATAGCACTTTTAGATATTTTTGACTCTATTTTTTTCAGGAGAAAGTTTTATATAGGCATTTCCTGCTTCAAAATACAAGCTATCCATGGAGACTAAGTAGCTTATTATGGGTTAGAATACTAACTTCACATACTCCTGTACCTTTGTTCCAAACACATAGTAGGTACTCAACAAATATTAACAGTCTCCTGAGTTAGTATGTATGAAAGTACATGTTGAGCATCATTAAGTAAAAAGCACCAAATAAGTAAGTCATGAAGCAAAGAATAAGTCTTTAGTAGGCAGCAGGAAAAGACTAGAATGGACATGCGCAAAGCATGACCAAGGGACCAGTATTTAACCAGCACCTACTACATGTCAGGTACCATTTAGGCACTGGAAATGCAGTAGACAAGACAAGCCCCTCCTCTCATGGGACTGTCACTCTAGCTGGGGAAACTGACAATAAACAGTTAAACAAGTATAAGGCAAAACTGTGCGCTCTGCTTGAGATGAATATAGATATTCACCTGAAACCAAACATAAGTGTTCATTGACTTCTATATCAGCTGACTCTGGTGCTTTCCATCCTTCTATTTTAAACCCCCAAATTTTGACCTCTTACAGTACAGCATGCTTTAAACCAAAGACACCCATGTCTACAAGTCTAGGTTCAGAGCCTGCATTTTATTAAGGCCTTTTCCAAGTTTCTAACCTTACCCTTTGAAAACAAACTGAACTTCAAAATCATGAGTTATTTTTTAAAACAATATAAATAGATGAGATTAGCCCATCCCAGGAACCTCTCAGATGTAGTCTATCCATCCCTGTGACTTGGAGATTGTTTTCTAATGATATTGCAAACAATCTCAAATGAAACCAGCATAAAATACAGTCTGGAAAAATTGCAACTGCAGGTACTTATATAACAACATGATGATTGATAAGGAATATAGAAAAGAAAAAGGGGCTGGGCACAGTGGCTCACGCCTGTAATCCCAAGCACTTTGGGAGGCTGAGGGGGGTAAATCACCTGAGGTTAGGAGTGTGAGACCAACCTGACCAACATTCCAAAACCCCCATCTCTACTAAAAATTTAAAAATTATCCGGGCGTGGGGGCGGCGCCTGTAATCCCAGCTACTCAGGAGGCTGAGGCAGGGAGAATCGCTTGAACCCTGGAGATGGAGGTTCCAGTGAGCTGAGATCATGCCGCTGCACTCCAGCCTGGGCAACAGAGTGAGATTCTGTCTCAAAAATAAAGAAAATAAAAGAAAAAGGAAAAATGAATCTATATCACGGCCCAGAGCAGGCACCAAAAGTCTAAACCGGTTTCTCATGGTGTGTTCTGCAGATCTAGTAATGGGGGTATTCGTTTATTCAGATCTTTAACAAAATATTTATGCCATGTCAGACACTCTTTGAAATACTGGATACAGCAATGAAAAAGTAAAAGTCCTTCTCAGGGAGCTTACATCCTAGTTGTGGGGGAGGCAGGGGGTGCAGATAGTAACAAAATATGCACACATACACATATATACACACAGTGACATGCTGAAAAATGCTATGAAGAAACACAAAGCAGATATATTTTAAATAAGATGGTTAGAAAATGAGTGGTCATTTGAGCAGAGACCCTAATGAAATGAGGAAGTGAGCCATGCTGATGTCTGGAGAAGAGCATTCCTCACAGAAAAAAACCAGCAAGTGCAAAGGTCCTGAGGCAGGAGGATGAGCAAGGAAGCCGGTGTGCCTGCAGCAGAGTAAGCCAAGGGCAAAGTGGTGGGAGGTCAAATCAGAGAAGTAATGGAAGGTCAGATCAGGTAGGGCGTCATAGGCCACTCTAAGAATTGTGGCTTTTGCTGTGACTGAAATGGGAAGCTATTGGAGGATTTTGAGCAGAGGAGTGACACAATCTGACTTGAGTTTTAAAAGCTGCTGTATGAAGAGTACACTATGGGGAACAAGTTTGGAAGCAGGGAGACCACTTAGATAGCTAATGTAATAGTCCGGGAGGAAGCTGGCAGCAGTTTGGACTAGGATGGTCAGAATGAAACTGCTGAGTAGTAGTCAGATTTGGGATATGTTTTCACAGAGCCAATAGGATTTGCTGATTTTTACATACAGAGTGTTAGAAAAAGAGAGCCTCCAAGATTTGGGGATCAAGCAATTGGAAAGTGAAGTTAACATTTACTAACTTGGGGGAGATGAGAACTAGCTGGGAAAGGCAGATTTCAAGAATCTGGTTCTGAACACGTGAAGGCTGAAATGTCTGTTATACATCCAAGAGGAGCTATTGATTAGACAGATTATGCCAGGCCAGAAATGAGGGCTGGTATCATAGGTGAGAAACTTCTATGATCAAGGGATTTGCAAATGCTGGGTTAAGCATAACAGGTTGCTTTACTCGAGAAGTTCTTAAAGTCTTTAATTCATATGTACTTTGTGAACATCTAAGAGAAGGATTTAAGTTTTATCAAACTTATTTAACTACGGCACACTTAGTTTGGGGGTTTTCAGTCACACAACAGGCATACCTTGGAGATATTGTGGGTTTGATTTTAGACCGTTACAATAAAGCAAATATTGCGGTAAAACAAGTACATAAATTTTTTAATTTTCTAGTGCATATAAAAGTTATGTTTATACTATACTGTAGTCTACTATGTGTGCAATAGCATTATGGCTTTAAAAACAATGTACATACCTCAACTTAGAAATGCTGTACTGCTAAAAATTGCTGAAACTGACACATGAAATGAGCAAGTGTTGTTGGAAAAAATGGTGCTGATGGACTTGCTTGACTCAGGGTGGCCACGAAATTCAACTTGTTAAAAAACGCAGTATTTGCAGAGCACAATAAAGTGAAGAACAATAAAATGAGGTACACCTGTATTATTCCATAGGCCACCCAATACTGAAGACAGCCAATACTAGTTTTTTAATAGAAATGTCTCCACCTTTAAGCAGATAACACACAAAGCAATATGAGTTTGGAGTTTATATCCTTTCATCAGTACCTGATTAGTTTTCTGCATTTTAGTATTTCCACCTGTGAATTAATAGAACCTCATTCTACTTTAGGTAGCAGATTCTTATGAGTTTGGTTAGATGAATCAGATGTCAAGACCTTGGTCAGTTCATCCCTTAGGTGAACTAATAAAGACAAGCTTCTAAACCTGCAAAGCAAAGGGCTCAACCTCATGAAGCCTAGGCTGAAAGACTACAACCTGCCTTTGTTCATTACTTTTCTTCAACTCAATAGGCCTCCATCTCTCACACTGATCTTCACCAGTTTTATCCTAGGACCTCTTGTCCTATCACCATCACGGTGCTCTTCCCTGGTGATCTCGTGTTTTCCCATAACATAAACCACATATACAGCAAATACTCACAAATCTACATCTCCAATTCTGGCTCTCCCCTGAATTCTAGGATGCTATTTCCAACTACTGACAGCATCTGTACTGCAGTGTCCTAGAAGCATCTCAAACTCAATGTTTCCCGAACGGAGATCAAGCTTTCCCCCAGAGCGTATTCTTCTTCCTGAGATGTCTGTTTCAATGTATACCACCATCGTGCTCCTGTTGCCCCAAATAGAAACTTAGAGTCATCCTCCTTGCATTGCCTCCATCTTCCTCATCAATGATATGCAGTCGTTCATCAGGTCCAGCCATGACGACTTTCTAAATCTCTCCCAGTCTTTCTCCTCTTTCTCCTCCACTGTCATTACCTCAGTTCAGGTCCTCACTTTTTTACCTGAATTGTCTCATTAGCTTCCAGATGGTCTTCCTGATGACCGGATGGGACTACCATCAACCAGAACTCCTAGTTACTGCCAGAGTTACCATGTCAAACAGAAAACTGGTTGTGTACCTCCCTTGACTAAAAGTCACCACTCACCTCCAGAAGAAAGCTTTACAATAGCTTCAGTGACTTTCATAGTCTGGCCCAACTGGTATTCTCTACCTCGCCGCCCACCATGCCCCAAGACACACAGAGCAATTCCTTCTCCCCATGACTCAAACTTTCATTCCTCTGTGCCTTTGCACATGCTGGAGTCTTGCCTTTGCTGAGAACACATCCCCTCTCTCTTTGCCCCGTCCACACCAGCATCCCTTGTCAGCTTTATCGCAAGTAAAACCTCCGTTGCAGAGTCTTCTTCCCAATCATCAAACAGTCAGATCCCCTTCTCTCTGGGCACCAATAATCTTTATATGGAACACAGGCTTTCCCTGACCTTGGCAGCCTGGAGATACAATAGAAGAATATGGATCATCAGAGTGAGAATCCCCTCTTCTCAGTCCCTAACAACAAAAGTTTCAGGCATTTGGGTTTGCATAGAATGAATGAAAACTCTGTAAGTGAGTGTTTTTAAGGCTAAGTCAGAAAATGATGACACTGATGACAATGATGCTTAGCCACATATAGGTCAAAGAACCAAACCCATGAAGGACTGAAGAGTGGAATAGCAAAGTATCAGGAGACTGGGGCTGAGAATTTGTTCAGCAACCAAAGGGAGCTCTGAGAAACTGAGTTGTCTTCTGGTCCCATCAGCAGCTGGAGTTCATGAATCTTATTCTAGAGTTCAGCTATTCTTTCCACGTCTGCTTCTCTCTGGGTCCGTCCATATCTGCCATTCCAGATCTCTTTCTATCTCATATCCATACTCTCAACAACAGAGATTCTGAGTAACAGACCACCTTGGAGGCCCCTGGAAGACCTTTAATATGTCTCTCTTAGATCAGGTACTCCAAACAGTTATGGTTATAAGGGTTGCAAGCTGTAGAGCAGAGTTCTCAGCAGTGACCAGAGACACGGCAAGTATTACAATGGCTTGTCAAGTTCAAACACCTTCCTTCTGTCTGGAGAAATCCCTCATGTGTTCACAATGTGTCCCCAAGCAGCCACGACAGTCCTCACCTTCCTCACTTTGTGGCATTTACTCTCTTTCCCTGCTACCTGGATGTTCACTCTGTGGCTCCCTGGTCACTGCATAGACAGACTCCACTTTCCTTATACAGATGGTGACCCTGTGCTCCTGCCTTTGCCTGCCTGGCCATGGCTCCTGGAGGCAGCCCGTAACTTCACTGGTGTTAGCCTGCAAGCATACTTGTGTCAGAATGCAAGGCCCTCATCTGACTCATAACTGGCTTTAAACTTTGTTAGGCCACAAAAGGGAGTTTCTGGTAGTATCTCTTGTGATTCAAGCTTTGTCCTTTAATTTGCTTGTTTGCTTCTTTACAGCTTTCCCACTCTGGAGGAATCTGACACATTCAGGAGGTGACACCAGAAGGCAGTTTGACCACTACCTTCAAAAGCCTCCCTCCTTGCCAATCCCTAGCCAGTAGCCCAAACAAGATTGTACATTTTGAGTCTCTCCTCAGGGTAACTTCCTTGTCCCTCAAGGACACCACCTAGTGAGTGAATTGTTTCTATATCTTAGCATAAAGCTGAAGCCACAGCCTAATTTCTCCATGGAGTCATGCTCTGCCCCAGGAAACCCATCAAACTCCCGAAACCTGTGACATTAGTGCCCTATGGTTCACCTACCCCACCACCAGCCTCACTGTGCCCCCTGAAAAGGTGGAAGTTCAGAGCCTAGTCTTCTCTCTTGCTCTGAGGTTCTACCCTGGGTAGCATTACTCAGATAATTATGGCATAGCACTTACCATGCATGGTATACCATATTTATCTGAGAGAGAAGGAAATTAATATTTATTGACCACCTAGTATAACCCAGGTTTCGCATTAGATGTTTTTCATATGTTATATTATTTCATCTGCATGCCCAACCTTTGAGAGGGATATAATCATCTCTAGTTCACACATAAGGGCATAACTCATAGAAATGACATGCCCTGTCACAAGGTCATGCAGCTGAGGACCCAAGCAGGGAGTCACACCTAGTTGGTCTGACTTCGGCATCTGGACATCTGTGTTCTCTCCTTTCCCGCTTGCTGCCTCATGTTTATTTATATGTCGCCCTCCCTCCCACTGACCGTGAGCTCCTCCTTGGCAGTGACTAATTCATCATTATATCCACACTGCATCTGTCACACTCTAAGTAGGAGCTCAAACAACATTTCTCCATGAAAGAAGGAAGGGAGGGAAGAAAAGCAAAAGGCCCTGGATTTTGCCTTGCACTTAGTAAGTGCTTAATAAATGTGTATGAATGAACACCAAGGTTTCAGAGAAGCCCTGGGAGCTTTCCTCTGAAGACACTGAGTGATCTGATTGGCAGGATGCCATTTATCAGTCTCCTCCAGGCAAGCCTGTGAGACAGAGCAAGAATGATGGGGCTGGAGTGAATGTTAATTTCAGATGAAACCATTGGAGTCTCTGTACTGCTGGAAACTGGGACGTAGAATTAAAGTGCCCTTTATAATTTATACTCTAATGCAAGTGGGATGTGGAAAGGGAAACCTTTCTTTATATTCTGATGCCTTTTCCTCTGGCTCTGGCATTGATTATCAAATGAACAGAGCCTCTATAAAGGGAGAAAGTTGGGTGATTTAGGAGCCATCCTTAACCCAGTCCTAGAGCTAGATGAGCTGACCTATTGAGCTCTCCTCCAGTCTTTCGATTTTATGTTTCTATTATTTGGATAACAGGAGGCAGAAGAGAAGAAGCTGCCAGGCTGGGAGAATGGCTGTCTGATGAGCTGCTGTCAGGCCTACAAAAGCGTATTTCCACGTGGTCCTGCATCCTGTCCCTGAGATACAGTAATAAATCATTGCATATAAAGGTGTCAATATTTCCACAGCCTCTGTTCATAAGAGAGGTGAGCTGGAAGAATACGAAGTCAATGTTCATGGAACTCTGCTTACGTTCCCATTCCAAAAGACAGAACAAGGATATTTCAGGGATTTCTACTTTGGGCAGAAGTGAAGAAAGAAAGAATGCACTTTAAATTGATACTATTATCTCATCTCCGGGAAGAAATCCGGGGTATCAAAAAGTTAAAGACTTCCTAGGTAATTCATCATCTCTCAAGGCCTCACAGATTTTAAGATGATATGATTTTTAAAGCCAAGGGAAGTAATGCATCTTCCTTATTTTGTAGCTGAGAGAGCTGGAACCCAAAGGCAGAAGGGCTGGTAGAAGTTTGCACTAGTGAGAAGCAGAGCCTAGGCCACTCTCAGGAGTGGACAGCCTGCAATTCCTGGAGTGCTCAGCTCCACCCCTATTCTATTCTTATTTCTACCAGCATCACAGGATTCTGTGTCTGTAAAATAAGGATAACAATACCTACTCTTTACAGACTAGTTTTAAGAATCAAATGGGACAGTAGATACGGGGTGAAGATGTTTTGCAAACTGTAAGCCCTTTAAGGTGCTATACGCCTCTATGCAAATATAAGCATTACTAACACTGTTGACATTAAAACATATTTGCTCCTAATTTATCATGAGTATAAATAAATAATGACAGGTTTACATTCTTCAGAGATGACTTCAGGAGGCATTTTCTTTTCAACCCTCTAATAAAATTCCTCTAAGTTTTCTTGATAAGTTCTTTCTTCCCCTCATTATCGAAAGTAATATGTGCGTATTATAGATAATTTTAAAATATCAAGACATAAAGAAAAAAATGTTTCCCATAGTTCCCAAACCCAAAGATCATCATGATTAATCTTTTGATATATTTCCTTCCAGTTTTCCCCCATGCATATTATATCTGAGTTATGATCATATTAAATTGGATATTCTATTTCCCAGTTTTTCATTTACCATTATAACTTATATATTTTCCCACATTACAAAAACTTATTTTTAAGTGCCTTAATGATTGCACGACATTTTATTCTATGGCTATATCATAGACTATTTAATAATTTCTTATTAGCTGTTAGGTTATTTTCTTTTTAAAAATATATATAAGGCAACAACTAACCGTGAATAAAGCTTTTCTGTATCTCATTTTATGAGGAACATATAAGGATAGTTTACTAAAAATAAAACGCTGAAAATATGAAAAGATTTTGATGCATTTGCTGAATTGCTTTCAAGGAGATTTTCTCAATTTATGGCCAGGCACGATGGCTTATTCCTGTAATCCCAGCATTTTGGGAGGCCGAGGTGGACAGATCACATGAGGCCAGGAGTTCAAGACAAACTTGGCCAATATGATGAAACCCCATCTCTATTAAAAATACCAAAAAATAGCTGGGCATGGTGGCGAGCACCTCCCAGCTACTCAGGAGGCTGAGGCAACATAATCGCTTGAACCCGGGAGGCGGAGGTTGCAATGAGCTGAGATCGTGCCACTGCACTCCAACCTGGGCGACAGAGTGAGACTCAGTCTCAAAAAAAAAAAAAAACAAAACAAAACAAAACAAAAGAACAAGATTTTATCAATGTATAACTGGCCCACCAATGGTATATGAGTTTCCTAGGGCTACTGTAAAAAAATTACCATAAACTAGATGGCTTAAAACAACAGAAACTTATTCTCTCACAGTTCTAGAAGCTAAAAGTCTGAAATCAAGGTGTTGGTGGGGCCATACTCTCTCTGAAGGCTCTGGGGAAGAATCTTCCCTTGCGTCTTTGAGCTTCTGTTGGTTGCTGGCAATCCCTGTCCTTCCTTGGCTTGTGACAGGATAACTCCAATGTCTGCTTCCATCCTCCATGGCCTTCTTCCTTATGTAACTGTATGTCTCCAAATCTCTCTCTTCTTATAAGAACACCTGTCTTTAAATTTAGGGCCTGCTCTAATATAATATGATCTCATCTTAAGTTGATCATATCCACAAAAGCCCTATTTCTAAATAAGGCCACATTCACAGGTACCAGGGATTAGCACTTCAATATAACTCTCTGGGGTACATAATTCAACAAACAATAAATGATATATGTGAGTTCCCAACCCATCATGCAGTCCCCAGCAATATCGCTTTATTTATTTTTATTTATTTATTTTGAGACAGAGTCTCACTCTGTTGCCCAGGCTGGAGTGCAGTGGTGCGAACTTGACTCACTGCAAGCTCCGCCTCCCGGGTTCACGCCATTCTCCTGCCTCAGCCTCCCGAGTAGCTGGGTCTACAGGCACCCGCCACCACGCCTGGATAATTTTTTGTATTTTTAGTAGAGACGGGGTATCACAGTGTTAGCCAGGAATATCACTTTATATTTTAATTGCATTATTTATATCTTCAAAACAGACAATAGATTTCCATGAAGATCTTCATCCATGTTGAGCATGGTGGGGTGATTACTTTTCAGAGGTTTTGAAGGCTAGAATTCTTTTTGCATAACCAGGCTGGATATTTACTTACGTTAATTTTGGAAGCAGCACTCATCTGCTTTTGATGTGTACCTGTGTGCCATCCCTGCTACAGGCTCCAGCCTCCTCACCACCTTGGGAAGGAAATTCTATCAGGATCTGTCCTGAAAAGAGGGAAGCTCAGGAGCTTGGAAGTGAGACAAAGTTGGGTTCAAATCCCAGCTCTGCCATTTAGCACTGTTTCACCTTAAACTGTGTACTTAACGTCTCTAGCCCTCAGTTTTCTCCCCTGTTAAATGAGAATAAAAAACATGTATGAGTTAAGCACTTAGCCTGGAATATAACAAATGCTCAGTACATATTAGCTATGGTTATTCATGTTTATTATTGTAATCGTTATTGGTGTCATTATCACCTTGCTGCTGATCCTTCCCAGTTTTTGTGTAATGAGGCTCTGTCCCCTTGCCTAGGCATGCCATGTCTGGGCACTGTTCCTGGAGCTCAAGCGTTTTCTGTCTGGGCTCTGACTCTGCAACCCAGGCATTTATTGTCTGTGTTCCTAACATGCACCTTGCATATTTAGATTCTTACCCAGATGTCTCTAGGTCCCTTGCAGGGCCTTGCTATCTACCACTAGATCTTCCCCTCATGTCAGTGGGTATTCTCTGCTACAGAACCAAGCCCAGGCATTTTGGTCTCCCGCTTGTGCACAATCATATTTCAGAACCCCAAACCTGACCTACACATCCAGAATTTGCTTTGCATATGAGTCCTCCCGCCCAGTCTGACATCAGACATTGCATAGCATATTCCTTTAATCAGCCCTTTCCTTACAATCAGTATGCTACATAGTGATTTTCTGATAGTTGATGACTGGTGTCTGGATAATACCAAGCCCAATTCCTTCCTCTTAGCCTGTCCAGTCTCTTCTCTGCTCAAGTCCTGGATTCAACAATGAACTTCACTAGAATCACCTACATTATTGGCCTTGGAAGGACTGTTCAGTACCATATAAAATAATGCCTAGAATTTAAAAAAAAATGAATTTCCCCCCAGATTCAGCAGCTTTTTGTTCCTTATGTATTTTACACCCAACAGGATCAATCATGGGGAATGGAATGGGAAGAAAGAGAACGGTCAGTGCCAACGTGGTCTGGGGCCATACAATAGTGCACACATTCTCTCCCAGTTCTAGCTGGGTGAAAAATTACTTATTACTTAATACTTACCCTACTTAATAAGGTAAGGGAATTATACAACTCATCTATGCATATTTTATCCTGTGTATTTATGTTACTTTGGGATGCCTGCTTAGGGTAACTACATTAAATCCATTAATGATGATTTTTATCACTTCTTAATATCAAAGCTACCTGCTTGACTTCTCTTCATGCATATTCATGGCATCATTAACAGTTAGGCCATGCCCCTCAAGATAGCAGGTGTAGAACAATGAGGCCACCATGACCTGGAAGTGTGTGGTAAAATAGCACACTTGAAATGATAATGTTCCAAAAAAGCAAGACTTAGTTCAAAGATTCAGAAATAGCTTCATTGCCCCATCCTATATAACACTATATGCACGTTCTCCTAAACGTTGCCAAACACCTGCCAGCAGACAGAGACCAGCGCCTCCTTTGTTGTCCTTTCCAGATTCTCATAAGAATCAAATCTCTTAATTCAAGAAAAGAGCCATAGAGTTTCAATAAATGGTTAAAAATGTCAAGGCTTTGATTCTGATCAAGATAAATCTCTGGAGGCAATAGAAAAGATTCTATACTGGGTCTGATCCATTCTCCAGTTGCATAACCCATTTGTAACTCATAGTTATCAATGTCATGCCTATATGTAGGTCTACACATACGCACAAACACACACATGCCGTTTGAAAACTCCTGGTGTGACATTCTGATACTCAAGTTTACAAGCTGGCAATGACATTGCTCAAGACTTGATTTTTTCACACTTTATCAGGAACAGTGGTGATACAGCTCTAGGAATGAGAACGCTTTCCCTCTGGGCTCTTGAAGTCACATAATCTTTTAATTATGAGAGAGACTCAGGACCTTATTGAGGTAGCAGCCACTATCCAAGGGTTAGCATCCAGGGTGGTGCTGGGATCAAGCTCAGCTGAAGAAAAAAGCTCCAGGTAGAATTCTAGAACACTGGGAGCTTGACTGTTGTTATTATTGTTACTTAACTTTTAAAGAAGAGGATCTCATGGGAAATCAGATGCCATGGGAAAGCTATGTGACTGAATAAACAATAAGCCAATAAAGGAAGGCAAGGCAGATGGGATCCAAATTAGAAGCAGCTTAAATCTCACTGAGGTTAGCAGCTAAGATTTGATAATTCAAAGAAGATTTACCTTTATTGCTCTAAAGAAAATGAATCTGTGCTAAAGTACAGGCAGTGGAGAAAAATCTTCACAGCACCTGCAGAACTGCGTGCCATATGTGCATTATTTGCTCCAGTCATGGAAGAGCTGGGAGAGATTGGTAACTAAAGGAAGATGAACTCACTCTCTGGAGGGTGACGACCTCAGAGCCGAAGTACGCAGCAAAGTCCGATTGTGATTTGATTTTACAGACAGTTTGAGACTGGAAATTAGGCCGCTGACTCAGGGTTGCCGTCTCACATCAAAGGGTATTTCCCTCCCTTTGCAACATGCTGATGGCCTCAGAAGTCTTTGCCCTTTACAACCCTCTCCAGGAACAGTCTGTCTGGACCCAATCCAAGGAGCTCTCCCTGGCCTCTCGGCTTTGTGAAATGCTGGAATGTTGCTCTTCTTAACAGTGGGGGTACCCTGTTGTCATTCATTACAAAGTGGGAAAATTATTTTCTCATGCTCCTGGGCCTCTCAGCAAGGGTGACAAAATGAAATATGAATTTCACTCTGCTTCTGAATAAAGTAATAGCCTAATAGCCTATGTTTTTGTAATTAAATTTTTTTCTGCATCATATCCTCCATACCAAAAAATAAGACCTGTTTTAATCTCTCCATTCCTTGAAACCAATGTTCATTGCTTCATTCTTGAGGGTATTCCTTATGTTGGGGAACTTTTCTCAGAGTTTATCTTCATATTGTTACACTTAACTATTGTGCAATCATTTGACGACACTATGCATGAGAAACGTGTGGCTAGTTCTAATGTTCAGCCCCATTCATTCATTTGATATTGTAACCAACATTTCTTCAACTCTCTCTCACTGTTCTGTGGATTACAGGCTCAGAGATGTAAATACACAGCTGACATCCTCAATAAGTTCATATTTAAACAAAAAGGGGTCGGGGAGGAAAAGTTTAAGGTAAGTCATGAAGATTGGTTACCAGATACTTGATATAATTTCCAAAGTCCCAAAAGTCTTATAAGCCTTGATTAAAGGCCTGAAATTCCTATATGTCCTTACAAATCTTTATATCATAAAAACAAAGAAAAATCCCTACCACATTCAGAAGAACAAAAAAAGAAGGTTGCCAGAAGAGGAATAAAAATCAGACTCCACAATGGTGGTTAGAAGTTAATGGTGTACAGTTAGAACGGCCATCATTAAAAAGTCAGGAAACAACAGGTCCTGGAGAGGATGTGGAGAAATAGGAACACTTTTACACTGTTGGTGGGACTGTAAACTAGTTCAACCATTGTGGAAGTCAGTGTGGCGATTCCTCAGGGATCTAGAACTAGAAATTCCATTTGACCCAGCCATCCCATTACTGGGTATATACCCAAAGGATTATAAAACATGCTGCTATAAAGACACATGCACACGTAGGTTTATTGCGGCACTATTCACAAAAGCAAAGACTTGCAACCAACCCAAATGTCCAACAATGATAGGCTCAATTAAGAAAATGTGGCACATATACACCACGGAATACTATGCAGCCATAAAAAATGATGAGTTCATGTCCTTTGTAGGGACATGGATAAAGCTGGAAACCATCATTCTCAGCAAACTATCGCAAGGACAAAAATCCAAACACCGCATGTTCTCACTCATAGGTGGGAATTGAACAACGAGAACACATGGACACAGGAAGGGAAACATCACACACCGGGGCCTGTTGTGGGGTGGGGGGAGGGGGGAGGGATAGCATTAGGAGATATACCTAATGTTAAATGACGAGTTAATGGGTGCAGCACACCAGCATGGCACATGTATACATATGTAACAAACCTGCATGTTGTGCACATGTACCCTAAAACTTAAAGTATAATAATAAAAAAAAGAAGTTAATGGTGTATCACTTTCAAAGATTTGAGAGGAAAAGGCTATAACCCAATAATTCTATAATCAAATTGTTGTATATATTTTAGGGCTACCAAGTTGAGAAAATTAAAACACAAACATAACACCCAGTTGAATTTAAATTTAAAATAAACAATGAATATGCTTGTAATGTAAGTATGTCCTAAATACTACATGGGACGTACTTATACTAAAATGTTTTCACTGATGATCTGAAAATTCAAATGTAACTGGGTGTCCTGTATCTGGCAACTCTAATATAAAGGGCAACAGAAGAATATTCAGACATTGTCCAGACATTAAAGAACTGGATGATTTACCACTTGTGTTTTTTCTAAAACAATTACTTGGAAATATTCACAAAGTAAAGAATTCAAACACTGAATAAGAAAGTCATGACTGAAGGGAACTAGCAGTGAGCACTAAAACTAAGTTTTAAAAATTGTTGTAAATACGATTAAAATCCTAGGAAAAGCAGGATGGCTCACACCTGTAATCCAAGCGCTTTGAGAGGCTGAAGCGAGATGATCACTTCAGCCCAGGAGTTTCAGTCCAGGCTGAGCAACACAGGGAGACCTCATGTCTACAAAAATAAAATAAAATAAAATTAGCATGGCATGGTGGTGTGCCTGTGGTACCAGCTACTTGGGAGGCTGAAATGGGAAGGTCGCTTGAGCCTGAGAAGTCGAGGCTGCAGTGAGCTGTGATCACGCCACTGCACTCCAGCCCGGGCAACAGAACAAGACTCTGTCTCAAACAAAAAAAAAAAGTAATAATTTAAAATATAAATGCTAATAATTTGGAGTCTATAATATTAGATCATGTTACCAAGATGTAGATGTGATCAATAGTGGGGACAAATTGTAAGTATATTCAGAACACATTTCACCCACTATAGCAAGGTTAGAAAGAAGAATGACAACATACCTCCTTATTTTATGGAGTGCTCTTGTGTATTATGTCATTTGAACATTACCTCATTTGGTTCTCACATAATCCTGGAAGAGGTGAGAGAGTTGATAAGGTAATCAAGCACACATTTCTCACCTATACAGTTGGAGAAATGAGGCTGACAGAGCTTTAATGGCTCACCCTATGTGTAGACACTAATAAGCGGCATGAGCTTCTGTCTCCAAGATCAGCAGGTTATTCCAACCTAAAGTGAGTTGTTCAGCTGGGCTTTCAACTCACAGATTAAGTTTATTGTTAACTAAAAGGTCAGAGAAGCCTAACCCACTCAATAAATATTTGTTGATTAAACATTTTTCTTGGTTAATTCAAGTGTTTATTGAATGAGTGCCATGTACCCAATTATATACTCTGAGGTAACTAGAAATGTCGAAATGGTATAAATCATGACCTCTGTTTTCTAGGTTTAAAATCTACTTAGAAAACTAACATGCATGGAACAATAAAAAAAACTTTGGGGAAGGGCTATGTTTCTGAGCCAATACCATATTACAAAATAGGATAAAAAGAATAATCCTAATTTTTAAAATCTACATTTTTAATTATGCTTAGGGAGAAAACCCTCCAAGGTTGAAATACTCAGGAGCTGCATTTTCTTCCTTGTATTTTCCACATTTTCTATAGGGAATGGAAAGTACTTTTGGCCGGGCGCGGTGGCTCACGCCTGTAATCCCAGCACTTTGGGAGACCAAGGCGGGCAGATCACCTGAGGTCAGGAGTTCAAGACCAGCCTAGACTACATGGCAAAACCCCGTCTCTACTAGAAATACAAAAATTAGCCAGGCGTGGTGGAGGCACCTGTAATCCCAACTACTCAGGAGGCTGAGGCGGAAGAATAGCCTGAACCCGGGAGGCAGAGGTTGCAGTGAGCTGAGATCGTGCCATTGCACTCCAGCCTGGGCCACAAGAACGAAACTCCGTCTCAAAAAAAAAAATAAATAAATAAAAACAAAACAAAAAAACACTTTCAACGTTTTTAAAAAATCTTTTATTATATTTCAAGAAGATATTTTACAGAAGAATAGAACTTGGCTTGGAGGGAAGGTGGTCTATGCACTGAGTCTGGAATGAGGGTAAGTTTTAAACAAGCAGATGGGAGGGAGAACAAAAACAGTACACTGGCTGAGAGCATGAGGGTGCCTGCAGCTCTGCCATTCACGTGAGCAGCTACCTAACTTCTTTGGGCATCAGTTTCCTCTTCTGTAAAGTAAGCATAATAATACTAAACTCAATGTGTTTTTGCAAGAATGAAATGTCACATTTGCAATAAATCTTTCAGCACAGTGCTTAGCACATCGAAAGCACTCAATAAAGTTATTATTATTACTATTCATGGAAACTAAAGCTATGCCAGTAAGAGACAGGAACACATTATAGAAAGTTTCGGAAACCATGCAGAGGAGCTCAGGAAAATTAAGTGCGCAGGGCGGGTTAGGGAGGAGAGAACTGCCCTGCAAAAAGTCAGCTGGGGCTGGGCACAGTGGCTCACCCTTATAATCCCAGCACTTTGGGAGTCTGAGGTGGGTGGATCACCTGAGGTCAGGAGTTCCATACCAGCCTGGCCCACATGGTGAAACCCCATCTCTACTAAAAACAAACAAACAAAAAAATTAGCCAGGAGTGGTGGCCAATGCCTGTAATCCCAGCTACTTGGGAGGCTGAGGCAAGAGAATCGCTTGAAACTGGGAGGCAGAGGTTGCAGTAAGCTGAGACTGCACCACTGTACTCCAGCCAGGACGACAGAGAGAGGCTCCATCTCAAAAAAAAAGAAAAAAAAAAAAAAAAAGAAGTCAGCTGGGAGGCTGCTATGATTCTGGTACAAGGTGGTATATTAGTTTCTTAGGGCTGCTATAACAAATTATCACAAACTGGGAGGCTTATAGCAACAGAAATTTATTCTCTCACAGTTCTGGATTTCAGAGGTCTGAAATAGAGGTGTCAATAGGACCATGCTTCTGCTAAAAACCATAGGAGAATATGGGTTACTTGCCTCTTAACAGTTTCTGGTAGCTCTGGTATTCCTGAGTTTATAGCTACAATGCTTCAATTCTCAAGGCCAATATCTTCAAGTCTCTCCCTGTTCATATTCACATGGCCTTCTTCTTTGTGTGTCAGCTGTCAAATTGAGAGGTAACAGCGTGCTGGCAGCCCTCGCAGCCCTTGCTCACTCTCGGCGCCTCCTCAGCCTTGGCGCCCACTCTGGCCACGCTTGAGAAGTCCTTCAGCCCACCGCTGCACCATGGGAGCCCTTCTCTGGGCTGGCCGAGGGTGGAGCCGGCTCCCTCGGCTTGCGGGAAGGGGCAGAAGGAGAGGCACAGGCGGGAACTGGGGCTGCGCGTGGCTCTTGCGGGCCAGCTAGAGTTCCGGGTGGGCGTGGGCTTGGCAGGCCCCGCACTCGGAGCGGCCAACCGGCCCTGCTAGCCCCGGGCAGTGAACGGCTTAGCACCGGGGCCAGCAGCTGCGGAGGGTGCGCCGGGTCCCCCAGCAGTGCTGGCCCACCGGCACTGCACTCGATTTCTCACTGGGCCTTAGCTGCCTCCCTACAGGGCAGGGCTTGGGACGTGCAGCCCGCCATGCCTGAGCCTTGCCCCCACACCGTGGGCTCCTGCGCAGCCTGAGCCTCCCAAACGAGTGCCGCCCCCTGCTCCACGGCACCCAGTCCCATCGACTGCCCAAGGGCTGAGGAGTGCGGGCACACGACGTGGGACTGGCAGGCAGTTCCACCTGCGGCATGGTGCGGATCCACTGGGTGAAGCCAGCTGGGCTTCTGAGTCTGGTGGGGACTTGGAGAATCTTTATGTCTAGCTAAGGGATTGTAAACACACCAATCAGCACTCTGTATCTAGTGCAAGGTTTATAAACACACCAATCAGCACCCTGTGTCTAGCTCAGGGTTTGTGGACACACCAATCGGCACTCTGTATCTAGTTAATCTGGTGGGGACTTGGAGAACCTTTATGTCTAGCTGTGGGATTGTAAATACACCAAATCAGCATTCTGTGTCTAGCTCAGGGTGTGTAAATACACCAATCGACACTCTGTATCTAGCTAATCTAGTAGGGAGGTGGAGAACTTTGGTGTCTAGCTGAAGGATTGTAAATGCACCAATCAGCACCCTGTCAAAATGGACCAATCAGCTCTCTGTAAAACAGACCAATCGGCTCTCTGTAAAATGGACCAATCAGCAGGATGTGGGTGGGGCCAGATAAGAGAATAAAAGCAGGCTGCCCCCAAGCCAGCAGTAGCAAAGCTGTCCGTTTTGGTTTCTCACCGTGGAAGCTTTGTTCTTTTGGTCTTTTGTAATAGGTCTTGCTGTTGCTCAGTGTTTGGGTCTACATTACTTTTGGAGCTGTGGCACTCCGCGTGAAGGCTTGCAGCTTCACCCTTGAAGCCAGTGAGACCATGAACCCACCAGGAGGAGTGAAGGCTGTCTTGTCTTAAGTAGTCCTACCGGCTGTAACGGTTGTTGTGAAAGTCTGTATCCTCACTCGTGAGCCAGCAAGACCATGAATCAACTAGGAGGAAGAAACTCCGAACATATGCGAACATCAGGAGGAACAAACTCTGGATACGCTGCTTTTAAAAGTTGTAATGCTCACTGAGCAGGTTTGCGGCTTCATTCTTGAAGTCAGTGAGACCAAGAACCCACCAATTCTGGACACAAAATCTGTTTGCCTGTTTAGAGGCATACTACGGGGTTACATTAGAAGCCCACCGAGATAATCCAATACAATCTTCTGATCTCAAAATCCTTCACTTAATGACATCTTTGGCAACTTGAAATAATAATCACAGGTGTCTGACTTTTAAGGTAAGCTACCACAGACCTGATATATTGGGGACTTTTATCAGCCTATCACAGGCGGTAAAGACTTAGGTAGAGCAGATCATCTAACCGGGCTGGAGCTGTGGCCAGCCTGGTGCTCTGGTGTGTGCTGGGTCGGCCCAGGGCTGATAATGGGGTGGGGGGAAGCACTCACCAGTGGCTATTTGCCAGCTGTCATGGCTTTACCTGTACCTTACAAGTGTAGCTGAATACAATCCCTGATTGTGGGAGAAAAGAGAA
The DNA here is from genome assembly GCF_000001405.40 of Homo sapiens. Lineage (NCBI taxonomy): Eukaryota > Metazoa > Chordata > Mammalia > Primates > Hominidae > Homo > Homo sapiens. The sequence goes on along the minus strand of NC_000006.12, from coordinate 15,757,379 downwards.
TGAGGCAGCAATGAGAGACTTTTTACAGGCAAAATTGATAGGCCTGGCTATGAAGAATAAAGTAGAAGAAAATGGGTAAACAGACACTGTTATCAATGGGAAAGAGATTCAGGCTTGTTTTCTAAGTAATCCAAGGTTGGGGCTCTTAACGTGTTTCCAATTCATGTTTTGTTGTTGAGACAAAGTCTCACTCTGATCTTGGCTCACTGCAACCTCTGCCTCTCAGGTTCAAGCGATTCTCCTGCTGCAGCCTCCCATGTAGCTGGAATTACAGGTGCTCACCACTATGCCTGGCTAATTTTTTATATTTTTAGTAAGAGAGGGGGTTTCTCCATATTGGCCAGGCTGGTCTTGAACTCCTGACCTCAAGTGATCCGCTCACCTTGGGCTCCCAAAGTGCCGGGATTACAGGCGTTAGCCACCATACCCGGCCCCAATTCATTCTTCATCCTAGTTCCTGATAACTGTTGCAGTAGTGGAAGGCCTTGTCTGGGAGATATTAATGAATTCACTTCTGAGTCTTTAGACCTGATGAGGATCTTGGTGTGAAGCTGCCAACAACTGCAATGTGTCAGACAGACTGTTTACCAAGCTCCAGCAAACATTGCTACACCCAGGGGACTGCTCTAAATTAGGGGAAAACAAGTTCTTTCAAGACAGTGTCCTGGCCGGGCGCGGTGGCTCACGCCTGTAATCCCAGCACTTTGGGAGGCCGAGGCGGGTGGATCATGAGGTCAGGAGATCGAGACCATCCTGGCTAACAAGGTGAAACCCCGTCTCTACTAAAAATACAAAAAATTAGCCGGGCGCGGTGGCGGGCGCGTGTAGTCCCAGCTACTCGGGAGGCTGAGGCAGGGGTATGGCGTGAACCCGGGAAGCGGAGCTTGCAGTGAGCCGAGATTGCGCCACTGCAGTCCGCAGTCCGGCCTGGGCGACAGAGCGAGACTCCGTCTCAAAAAAAAAAAAAAAAAAGACAGTGTCCTAGCCAGAAATTACTAACAGAGGGTTGCTTTTCAGTATCTCCTGAGCTGATTAGGAGGTCGGTGGGGCCTAATGAGCGTGTGAGGCTTATTCATCTGTAACCTTGAAACAAACAAATGCTCTCTAGGGAATTTGAATCCGAAGGCATTGTTGTTCCCATTTTTAGGGCTTAACAGGGAATAAAGACAATTTACCTCTGTGTTTTTCCCATTAGGCAGGTACACTGGAAGGGAGATGATTCCTTGATGATCCTTTTCGTTTATTAGCTGTCAGTACAGGCTTCAACAATCTAGCCAATCAGCCCTTCGTATTTTCATTGAAAAAAAATGATATGAATTCTCATTAAAAGTGCATAATTTGACCCTAAGGGCAGAAAACTGAGAACAAAGGTCAGTAGAGCCACTCACACTCCATCTTTGCATAGATGAGAAACCATGATGGGGACTGTATGCTCGATCGGAAAAGAATCTCTGGTGAGTGAGCATTACAGAAAAAGTAGAATTGCAAAAGTGTAATTTGCACTTATTGCAAAACTAGAGTTTGTTTGCTGTAAACGCGAGATACTAATGTCAGGCTTTGGTAAGGCTGTGGTGCATTCCACCCCACATTTCCCATGAACAATGGGAATTAATTTATTTTTGCTGTTACGCAACTATGAAAAGAAAGCCAAAAATTCAAAAGACTCACTGCCAAAGAGCAACTAAGTCCTGTTTTGTACAGATACCCGCTAGGTGTCACACAGCTTCAGAAAAACAATCCTTGCCTTCCAGGAGTTAACATTTTAATGAATCGTTAACTTCCCAATGCCTAGGCAAAAATTATTTCCATTTCATTACGTTCATTTGTTACAGATGCTTACCTTTGATTTCTCAAGAGAATAGAAATAAAAGACTGCAGAAAATGCCTTGACCTATATTTTCCAAATCCCTGTCTCTAGCAAATCCCATACTTCCGCCTTCATAGCAGAAAACTTCATTGGTTCTGTTTTTTTTTTCCTTAAGAAATATGTAATAAATCACAGGGCATCAGGAGTGTTTAATATTTAGCCAAACACTTTCATAAAATGATCTAAGGTTAGACCAGTTGTATGATCAAGGCAACAATTCCATCTTCCTTGAATATTCTGGAATTCCCTTCACCTCCAAGTATGGCCACCATCTCCTCCTGACAGCTTATCCTGATTGAACAGAAATCAGGCATTGGGCAAAAGAGGCGCCAGCAAGACTCCTGGCCCTAGTTAGTTACTTCTCATGCTCCAAAAGAGGAAGGTGGGCTGATTGAGTTTTGACCAAAGCAAGAAATGAGAACGAGGCAGCATGGCCAGGACAAGGCACCTTTGGACCTCCTATTGCCGGGAGAGCAATTGATCGAGGAGCCCCCAACGCTGTGCTCTGAAATGCAACTCTGCGTTTTCCTGCAGGCCACACTTCCCAAATGCTGCTCCTAAGCACATCGGGATGCTAAAACAGACCTGCCTCAGGGAAAAGCAGGGCTGCTCTGACAGGCAGCATTGCCCAACCTTCCTTAGAATTGCATCGAAGTCTGTCGTTTCTATCCAACCTTCATTTCTTCCTTCCCCCAGGTTGGACTCGCATCATGGTATGAAAGCTCTCCAAGTTTTTCTCGGCTTCCTCCCTGTTTTCTTTCATAGGTGTTTCCCCTAGTAAATATCTTGCACATGTAATCTAGCTTGGTGTCTGCTCCTTGGCCTGGACTAACACAAGCGGCTCTGCCAGCAGAGGCAGAAAACAGCTGGGGAAACGGGAGGCCACATGGTATTGGTTTAAAGACCAAACTCACTTCCTGAGAAGTGGGCAGAGCCACAGCCTTAGTGAGCTTTGGAATATGCTAACTTGGCTAGGCTAGACTACATTTCCCAGAATTCTTTCTCCTGTGTTTCCAGTTAGGAAGAGCTAGAGGGCTATTCTCTCATGAGAGATGGAGGGAGGCATGGCAGGGACAGCCATTTTGCAGCACATGGACAGGCTTTGCTGATCTGCTGACTCACCTCGTTGACATGAAGCTGTGGTTGGGCCTGTCGCTGCCCTCCCTTCCCTCTGGACCTTCCTACAGCTTCTCTGACCCCTGGGGTGGGTGATGACTTGTTCAGCAACATGACACAGGGCCTCAACTTCTGCAGGATACCCTCATCATCAAGGTGAGAGGGAAAAAAAAGGATGAGTTTCAGTCTGGCCTAGAACCCGTGGGGTTCTAGGTTGCTCTCATCAGCTCTCCTTGCCTGCCTGCTCATGGACTTCAGGCTCAAACATTAGTCAAGGAAACAGCCTTGGGGAGGCTGCTTAGCCAGCTCCTATAATTGTGTTTCAAATGAATTATATATACATATCCATCTTCTTCTCTGCTTGGACCCGGAATGATACACTCATTGTGTGCCCCTTCCCCAGTTTATGTCAGGGTACTGGTACACCTTGGGCTTCACAGAGAACACACACAGTGCCAACCCTCTGCTCCGCTGCTTTACCTCAGACTTGGACATCAACAACAGGAAGGTGAAACTGCATTTTGAGGACAAGTTCACATTCACAGCCCACCTGGCACTGAAGGAAGATGGAATTACTATCCTCTGCTCAGATAACAACCGAGGAAAGAGGCCCTACCCACCCTATCCCATAAGTGAGGAGGGAGAGGAACATGATTTTACCAAACTCCACAACAAAGATGGCAGACAGCATAGCTTTAGATGCGCCCATAGTAGACATCACCAGTAAACTGCAACATTTTCTGCAGAGTCCAGACATGGCTCCACTTAAATTTGCTCCTTAAATCAGGGGCTAGAAACAGCATAATTTTTTTTTTGTTTTTTAATGTTTAATTTTGGTGGGTTTGTTGTTTTTGTGGGGTTTATTTTTTATTTTTTATTTATTTTTTTTTTGAGATAAGGTCTCACTCTGTTGCCCAGGCTGGAGTGCAGTGGCAAGATCAGGGTTCACTGTAGCCTCGACCTCCCAGGCATAAGCGATCCTCCCACCTCTGCCTCCTGAGTAGCTGGAACTAGAGGCATGCGCCACCACACTTGGCTAATTTGTGTATTTTTTGTAGAGAGAGGGGTTTTGCCATGTTGCCTAGGCTGGTCTTGAACTCCTGAGCTCAAGTGATCCACCCACCTCTGCCTTCCAAAGTGCTGGAATTACAGTTGTGAGCCACCATGCCTGGCCTGTTTTGTGTTTTAAGCTAAATTATATCTGGCTTTGTGCCTCCACCTCCTTGGCTGGGAGGACATACAAAAGTGGTCATTACTGGGACACTTAACTACCACCACCACCACCCCCCCTTGGATAGAATGGGAATCCTGAGTGTTGGCCAGGAGATAGGGCAGGGCCTGGCCTTAGTCCGGTTTGGTTGCTATCACTTCTCTTTCTCCTGTCATTTCCCAGTACCAGCGTTGAGTTTGGCCCTCTGCTGTTTATCAGGCATAGCTGCCACAGAGAAACTCATCAGCATTCCAGTCTGCCTCAGTCTGGGCTGCAAGCCTCCAAAGCCAAGATGGCCAATGCTAACTCCCAGGAAGCAAGGTACAGCATCATCGTAGGTCCTGACACCTTGAGGAGTGCAGGGGAGCAAGTACCTGTATCATTTCCATTCACAGAACTTTCCATCCTCCAAGTCTCAGAGAACCTAGTTCTCCCTGGTTTGTGCTACTTCCTAGTAAACTCAGATTCATTCTTTACCCTCTGTAGGTTTCAGTTATCCAAAATAACAATATAGTCATTCTCCCCAAGGTTTAGAGAAACCCCAAAGGAATGATACTTTCTACTTCCTTCATGATGAGTGTGAAAATGTGTATTTCTTTTAAATTTTCAGTCTATAGGATAACTTTGGGAGGAAGAACAGAAGTAGAAATTGGAGGGGTCACAACGTGGGTTTCTAGGGAACTGGTAATATTTTATTTCTTGATCTAGGTGGTAATTTTACAAATGAGTTCACTTTCTGATAATTCATTGAGCTGTACATTTATGATTTGCACACTTATCTCTATGGTCATACTTCAATCTTTCAAAGTTTAAGAAAATCCAAATGCTAACAACAACAACAAAACTCTTTCACCTGTTTACTTGCCACCCCTCATTTCCCCTCCCCTGTTGAATAGCCTTATTTAGCAGCTTCAATACTTAATAAACTTTGGTAGTCCTTAGTGCCGTTCCACTTCTCTCATTCCAGGCACATGATCCCATTGCATTTCCTTGCTGTCCTGTGGTTGGGCAGGGTTGTGTGACTAGTTCTGGCCAGTGAGTTGGAAGAGGAAATGATGTGTGTCACTCCTGGGCTACAGCATCCAATTGCCAGTATGCGATCCATGGGATGTATTTTGTTCTCTGCTGAAGTGACATGCAATTTTTCAAGTTAGTGCTCCCCATCAGTCTTGGTCCCAGAGAGAGGATGACATAGAGCCAACTCACAGTAGACATGAACAGCAGGCATGCATGGCAGGAAATAAACATTTGTTGTTTTAAGCCACTGAGATTTGGGGATTGTTACTGCACTGATTTGTAGTGAGACCTCCTGGTGTGTTTGTGTGTATGTGTGGTTTGCATGTTTATATCTCTGAAGAGTAAACCAAGATAAGGTATACTCTTATACAGACATATTAACTATACTCATATTTCCCTCTGCGAAACAACTATTACATGAACATGGAGGGAAATATGAGTATAGTTAATATGTCTGTATCAGAAGGCTTTTGGCTTCAAGTATAGATACCCAAACTGAAAACTGCTTTCACAATAAGCCTATTGTCTTATATAAGAGAGGTATAGTAATTCCAGGATCCATTGGTTCACCTACTCAATTGTATCTCAAAGACCCAGATTCTTTCCCCTCTATCCTCAGTGTGCTAACTCCCCTTTGGGTGCAAGATGGCTACAGCAGGTTCAGGTACCAGGCATGTAGCAATCTGACAGGTTTCCTGGTTTGCAGTTTGAGTGTCTTTGTTAGTGGCATTTGGTGTTTAGTTGAACTTTCTGAATGGCCCTCACAGCAGCCAGCAAAGGTTGTCCAGACATTATCTGTTGTGAATTATATGAAGTTTATATAGAGTTGTCTAGCTTCAGCTTTCAGGACATTGGGAAAAGGGCAGTTTTAGTTCTCCATGATGTCAAGCCAGGAGGGCAGGAAAGGAGCGCTCTCTTGTGCGCGTGCTCACTCGCTCTCTGTCTCTCTGTCACATACACATACACACACACACACACACCCAGAGACAAGAAATTCAGCAAAATGTTGAAAATGACAAAGGAAAACACATCAAGCATATTCAGGATATTGCGATCATTTTAGCAATTCTCTGATGGTGATCTGAAGTCCCCTTTAATGGTCTAGTTTATCTGTTATTAGGACACAGTGTTAAGTGTTCTTTTGCTGGCAGACATAAAATTAAATAGGACCCATGACAGCCAAAAGTAAAGTGATAGAATGACATTTATTATTTCCTAGTACTTTGATTTTGCCTGAGCTTGTAGTCTTCAGCAAGTTACTTTTATTCTCCTTATAAATAAGTTAACAACTATAATTTCATCACATTTCTGCTGTGAGATGTAAGTGAATTAAAGCATATAAAGTGTTTGAACAATTTCTGGCACATAGTAAATGCTATAGAACCATGAGCTGTTATCATTATAACAGGGTTTTGGGGAGAATTTAAAAAGTTAATACATGTACAAGATTTAGAATAATGCTTATAATATAGTAAGCTTTTAATAAACCTTTGTTTCTATAACTATTACAATTTTAAATAAGAAAATTGAGGATGTTAAAGAGGGCAAAAATTGGATTAATTCTTTAAAATGAATTTGTCAGTATCAAACACCATTGTCATCTTAATTATCATGATTAATAACACATTCACGGAACACGTCTCTGTGTACTACTGAATAACTGATAAAAAAGAAGTCATCAGTCCAAATATGTTCTAAAAACTTTCTAAGAGGTCTGAATTATGCAAATCATCTCTTTAAAAACTTCCTATAAGAGACAAATACAACTGCCCAGAGAATGTTTAATTTGATACTTATCACCATCAGCATATTTTCTATTGATCAAATTTATAATACTGAATATTTAGATTGTTTACATGTTTGCTGAGCTTATAGTTAGGGCACTTTATGTAATCTTATAATTTTTTATAAACCTTGGAACAGTAGCCTTTAGGTTAACACTCTAGTTTGTAGTTTGAGGACTGTATCAAACCTTATTTAATGCCAAACTCTGTTATATGTTGTTAATGGGTTAAGCAGGCCCTGTGGCACAGAAGAAACTGAAGGAAACAAGGAAGTGAACATGTATTAAGCACTTGTGCATGCTTTTGTACCATAGTTATTTACACATCATGTTTTCTAATCCTCACCACAACCCTGCTTTGTGATATTATCTTCTCTCTTTTTCCAGGTGAGAGAACTAAGTTGTGTGACTCCAAAAGAGCAGAAACCAGGAACTGGAGAATGGAGGACCAAAGATCAGAGAACAAACGGTAATCCAGATGACTGAAGGATGGATGTTGTGCCCTCTGCCCTTTAGGGGATCACAAGTCTCTGCTGTGATTGAAGAGGGTAACATACAGAAAGTAGAATTTTACAATTCCATGCTTTATAAGGTGATGTCTAAAAATGCACCTATAGGAACAAATGTGGATTTCCTGGTTTTGAATATGATTCTGAGTGGGCATATAATAAATGCTGTCTAGCATTATTTGCAACTGTAAAATTAACAATAGAGTTGGATCTGATTAGGAAAAGAAAATCAGAATTCGCTTTGTTCTTGTGATCATAGCCCAAGATGCCCAGAATGAGAAAGTTTCATGCTGACTCAGACCAGCTTTAAAAAACAGGGAGAACCCTGCCACCAGCTTGTCACCAAATAACCATCCATTAGCCAAGTAAAGTAACTTAAAATAGTACATTATTATCTAGTGATAAACTAGTAAAAACCAATCATTTCCTGAGCACCTTGATGTGTCAGTGTTGTACTGAGTAACAGAGCTAGGTAAGGGAGATTCATTATATCACAGAGCTTTGGGGTGGGGCAGCTGGCAAGCAGGTACCAACTATGAAATGGCCTCATAGTGGGAAGGGCTGTGACTTTATTTTTTATTTTTAGATTTTTATGTTTTATTTTGACATAATTTTAGATGTAAAAATTGCGAAAATAGTATAGAGAGCCTACATATACCTTTGACTCAGCTTCCTCTAATGTTAAAAAATTATAAAACTATATAATAATGATCAAAACCATGAAATCATTAAATCAACATTGATACTATACCTTTTTTTTTCTTTTTGAGACAAGGTTTCACTCTGTTGTCCAGGCTGGAGGCTGATGCAAGCATAACTCACTGTAACCTCAAACTCCTGGGTTCAAGTGATCCTCCAAGCGTAGCCTCCTGAGTAGCTGGGACTACAGGCATGCATCACCATGCCTGGCTATTTTTAAAAACTTTGTAGAGATGGGGTCTCACTTTGTTGCCTAGGCTGGTCTCAAACTCTCGGCCTCAGAGAGCAGTCCTTCAGCCTCAGCCTCCCAAAGCACTGGGATTACAAGCATGAGTCACTGCACTCAGCCTATACTATTAACTTAAAAATAGACCTTATTCACATTTCACATTTTCCCCCAATATTCTTTTTCTGTTCCAGTATCCAATCCAGGATTCCACATGGCATACAGTTGTCATGTTTTCTTAGTATCCTCCAATCTGGGATAGTTTTTTGGTCCTTCTATATCCATCAAGGCCTTGACCCTTTTGAGGAGCACTGGCCAGTTATTTCATAAAATATCCATCTGGGTTTGTCAGATGTTTTCTCATGACCAGATTGAGGTTGTACAATTTTTGGCAAGAACACCACAGCAGTGTGTTTTTGTCCTCAGTGCGTCATAGCCGGGGTTTCATGAAGTTAATGTCTTATTACTGGCGATGTTAACATTGATCACTGGGCTTAGGTAGTGTGTACAAAGTTTCTCTACTGTAAAGTTACCATTTTCTTCTCGGTAATTGATAAATATCTTGGGGAAGATACTTGAGACAAGGCTAGCATTTTGTTTCTCTTTGAACTTTTGCCCACTAATTTTAGCATCCATCAGTGGATTTTGTCCACAGTAATTTTTACTATGATGTTCACCTAGTGATGATTTTCACTTTGCTCGGTCCTTCTACATATGAGTTCCTCTGTAAAGAAAAGCTGTCCCTTCTCCCCTGTTTACTTATTTGCTCAATTATGTATATCAGTGCGAACTCATGGATATGTACTTCATTCTATGGGTTATAATCCAACACTATCATTTACTTTGTTACTTAAGTTTGTTTTGTTTGTTTGTTTTTTGAGACAGGGTCTCATTCTGTTACTCAGGCTGGAGTGCAGTGGTGCAATCTCGGCTCACTGCAGCCTGGAACTCTCAGGCTCAAGTGATCCTCCCACCTCAGCCTCTTGGGTAGCTGGGATTACAGGCAGGCACCACCATACCCTGCTAATTTTTGTATTTTTAATAGAGTTGGGGTTTTGCTGTGTTGCCCAGGCTGGTCCCAAATTCCTGGGCTCAAGCAATCTGTCCACCTCGACCTCTCAAACTGCTGAGATTACAGGCATGAATCACTATGCCCATCCTGTTGTTTAAATTGTTTCAGCTTTGGCAATCGAGAGCTCCTTCAGGTTGATTCCTGTGTCCTTTTAATGTACCCAATTCTTTTCAAGCACTTTCTTAACTTCTGGCACCACAGGCTTATCTTGTATTTCCCTGCCCCAGTCTGGAATCAACTTCTCCAAAGAGCCCTTGTTTCTTTGATTTTAGAAAGGTATTTCAAAACTAAAATCTCTGTGCTACTGGGTCATTGTCCTTAGGCCTCAAAGCAAGCAGAGTTAGGAAATACTGTGTGTGTGTATACTAACACATACACACTCAATGGTTTATTTTTGCATTAAAAACCACAAATTTATATTGACACCTCCAGTTCCAATCTAATACCACAAGATTAATTTCTTTTCCCTTTCTTATTTGTAGCTTTTTTTCTCCAGCAATGAAGTCTTACTCTTCTGATCTAAAATACATTCACATGTATATAGGGTGTCCAACCTTTCTTGTTTGCCAGGAACTGAGAGGGCTCCTGAGACATGGGACTTTCTGTTTTAAAACCAGGGAAGTCCAGGAAAATCAAGATGAGTTGATTGCTTATTTGCCCAAACTGTACATTGCGGGGTTGCAGAATTGCTAACCCATTACCCCAATGGGAAACAGATTTGCCAACTAGAGTATAACATTTATCTACAGTTCTTTCTGTCTTTAGCCTTACGTACTTACATATGCAGTCAAGATGCTATTTTCTAAAGTTTCTTAGATTCTTCATCCTCCCCTTCTGTATGGTTATATTACTCATTTGTAATACATTTAGGTTCATTTGTTATTGCTTGTATTCCATTTTGGGCCTCATATTACTCTGTGCCTCCTCATCCTGGTTAACTTTATTTACACATTTATTTTAGAGGGTATGTAAAATATCACTATATTTCTTTCTTTCTTTCTTTCTTTTTTTTTTTTTTTTTGAGATGGAGTCTCACTCTCTCACCTAAGCTGGAGTACAGTGGCTTAATCTTGTCTCACTGCAACCTCTGCCTCCCAGATTCAAGCAATTCTCCCACCTCAGCCTCCCAAGTAGTAGCTGGGATTACAGGCGTGTGTTAATTTTTGTATTTTTTTTTAGTAGAGATGGGGTTTCACCATGTTGGCCAGGCTGGTCTCAAACTCCTGACCTCAGGTGATCTGCCCACCTTGGCCTCCCAAAGTGCTGGGATTACAGGCATGAGCCACCGTGGCCAGCCTAATATCATTATATTTCTAAGAGCCAGAGCTATACAAAATGGTATATTCAGAAAGTGTTGCTCTCTCCTCATCACTCTCATCCCATTCCCAGCAGATACTCAACCATCTTAGTTTCTGGATTATCCTTCCTGTATTTCTTTTGCACTGAAGGAGGAGACACATATGTATTTTTGTATATCCCTTTGTTTTTCCCAAAAGGAATAGCATACTATATATTCTTTTTCATTTTGCTTTATTCACTCATCAGCAGATCCTGGACATCACTCCAGCTCAGGTCATAGAGATCTTCCTCATTCTTTGTTCCAGCTGCATAGTACTTCATTGTACGGACATAGGTGAATGAACATTCACCTGTGTATGAGCATTCAGGTTGTTTCCAGTATTTTACTATCACAAATCATGCTGCAGTGCCTTATCTTGTACTTACATGTTTTTTATATTTTGAAAGTAAATCTTCACAGATTTTTAGAATTGGGATCGCTGGATCAAAAGGCAAATGCGTGTGTCATTTTGTTAGATATTGAGGCAGTGACCTTGAAGTCAAGCTAACTTGGGTTTTAATACATACTCTGCTACTTCCTAGAAATGTGGTTAATCTCTAAACCCAGTCTCATCAATCATTACCTGGTTGCTCAAAGTATGGCCCAAGGACCAGCAGCATCACTTGTTCCCGCTGGGAACTTGTTAGAAATGCAGAATCCCAGGAAGCCCCAGTTCTACAGAATCAGAATCTGCATGTTAAGAGATCTCCAGGTGTTTCCTTTGCAGATTAAACTTTGAGATGCTCTGATCTATGCAACAGGAATGGTGTTAGTAGTAATCGTACTAGTATTAGTTATTGCTCTAGGTGTATGCACCTAGTACAAGAAAAAAGTAAATAAGGCCTTAAGCCAACAAGCAAAATCTTGAGGGAAAAAACAACAGCCACACCACCCTTAACCACACCAATAACATATCCTCTGCTTCTTGCTTTGTCCAAGTACTTGTAACTTCAGAAAGTCACTTACTGTGAGAGGTAAACAAAACCTGGTGGTAGGAAATATGTGTCTCTTTGGTTAAAATGTTAAAACCTTAAATAAACTGTATGTTATAACCTGTGATAGGTTTGCCACAACACCATGGTTTTATACAGGGCCACAGTTCAGAGACTATATTTCTTAAAATTTCTGTACCTTATTGGCACCATGAGAAAAACTAGAGTTACCCTTGGTCCACTAGCTGCAATTAGAATCACCTGCAGAGCTTTATAAACACAACAATGTCAGGCCCCACCTCAAACCAATTAGAATCTCCTCAGTGTAGACCCCAGACAGCAGGACACCTGATGCTTTAATGCATCTCAGGTGATTCTAAGTTTAAGTCGCTCTTCAGAACTTGTATTAGTCATTTTCACACTGCTGTAAAGAAATACCTGAGACTGGGTAATATAAAGAAAAGAGGTTTAATTGACTCACAGTTCCCCATGGCTAGGGAGGCCAGGAAACTTAGAATCATGGTGGAAGGGGAAGCAGGCATATCTTACACGGCAGTAGGCGAGAGAGAGTGTGAAGAAAGCAAAGGGGGAAGTGCCACTTATAGAACCATCAGATCTCGTGAGAACTCACTCACTGTCAGAGAGCAGCATGAAGGTAACCACCCCATGATTCCTATGATCCAATCACCTCCCTCTCTTGACATGTGGTGATTACAGGGATTACAATTCAAGATGAGATTTGGGCAGGGACACAGCCAAACCATACCAGAACTACTGGGTGAAATTAAGCAAAGATTGTTCCCCTTTTTTCAATTGTATATTTTATAAAAAATATAATTCTCTACCAAAATAATTAGTATATAGCAATTACTAATTAATTCCTTTTAAAACTTCTGTACCTCAAAAAATTCACAATAAATATCACATGTAATCTAGGAAAGAAATTTTCTAATATAAAAACCCAATGGGTAATATTCTTAATATATGAAGAATATGGTAATATTCTTAATATATGAAGAATATGGTAATATTCTTCATATATGAAGAATATGGTAATATTCTTAATATATGAAGAATATGGTAATATTCTTAATATATAATATCCTTAATATATATTAATATTTTAATATGTAAGAATATTAATATTTTTAATATGTAAGAATATAAATATTCTTAATATAATATTCTCTTATGAATCAATGAGAAAAAAAGAACATTCCACTGGGGAAAAAGGACTAACAAAGAACAAAGAATTAAAAGGAAAACAAACAGCAAATAAGCATTAAAATATTCATTTTTTTAGTAATCAAAGAAGTGAACTTAAAATAGCAACTAGATACCATTTTCTACCATCAAAATGGGAAAAATATGTATGTATAATAAGCAATATTTGTGAGATCCTTGAGAAATTGGTCATTTTTAACTGTGAATGGGAATGTAAATTGGAACAAACTTTCTGTAAGGCAGTTTGGTCCTGCTTATCAGAACCTTAAAATATTCATGACCTTTGGTACAGCAATTTCACTTCTGGAAAATTGTTTTGGGAAAATAATTAAAGATGTGTATGAAGATTTAGCTACAAGAGGATATTCATGTCAGTACTATTTTCAATAAAGAAAAGTTGGGATGATAAATGAAAACGTTCAACAATAGATCATTGTCCAGCTAAAACATGAAGCCTCCATACTATGCAGCTACTTGAAATGTTGCAGAAATCTGTCTACTGATATGAAAAAAAAATCATGATACATGGTGCCATGAAAAATCATGTTACAATGTGGTAACTATGGTATGACCCCGTTGTTGGAAGCATATATAGAAAAGAAATGGAAAAGATACAGACCAAGGAGTCCACAGAGTTGTTTGGGGAGGAGTATGTCCTTTGTATTTGTCTGTATTGCTAATTTTTCTACATTCTGTTAAAGAAAAAAATTATTTGTGACACTTGTATAATGGTAAGGCAGCCTACTTACTTGAATGGTAAGGGGGGAATACTATCATGGGGTTTTGCAGTGGGGGAAAGAGATTGGACTCCATTCCACATACAAGGAAAAGGAGAGATTTATAGCCAAGGAGTTGGGTGGGAGGTAGATGGATAGAAAATTACTAAGAGGGTAGGATAATTCTTTGCCAAACTCACCTAATAGGATTCTTGCTGAAGGCAGACCAGGGTAATGAGCAATTCCTGGGGGATATGGAGAATGAAGAAATTAGTCAGATATCAAAGATGGAGGACTCTGACTAAACTGACTTGACAGAATTCTTGCTAAAATTCAGTGATGCAAAGATAGACACGGAAGTCCAAAAGTTGAGGACTAGTTGGGAAGAGGATTCAGAGGAACCTAACTTTGTTCAAGGAGAGATTCTTTGTCAATGCATCCTCTCGTTCAAAGGAAAAAAGAGACAGAAAGAATGTAACATAGCTACAATGTAGGTCCATTTCTCCTGCAGTCACCTTTTGTTCTTTACCAACCAGTGGAACCATCTGCTCGGACTTGGTAGTAGATTGTATTTACTGACGTTGACGCAAACATTTAGGCATGAAATAAGAAATAATAATTTCTACGTAAATAAAAGAAAAACCAACCAAAATTAATAACTGCAGTTGCTGAATCTGAAGAGCAAACAGTTCAGAAAATTTCTAGATAATGGGCTTGGAGCATCTTTAGGCAGTAGAATGAGGATGGCAGTAGCAATCTGACAGGTTTCCTGGTTTGCAGTTTCAGTGTCTTTGGTAATGGCATTTGGCATTTAGTTGAACTTTCTGAATGGCCCTTACAGCAGCCAGCAAAGATTGTCCAGACGTGATCTGTTGTGATTTCTTTGAAGCTTATATATAGAGTTGTCTAGCTTCAGCTTTCAGGACTTTGGGAAAAGGGCAGTTTTAGTCCTCCATGATGTCAAGCCACGAGGGTAGGAAAAAAACTAGAAGTGTTAGTTTGAAGAGTTGTAGTCAGATCAGAGGAAATGAAAAGAATTGAGAATTTGTTAAGGACTGACAAAACGTACAAGACAGAGCCTACCAGGGTGCACTATTGTTTTCCATTGAAACATAAAATTTTTCTCTATAATTACTACACTCCTTCATTCTTGTTTACAAAATAAATCTAGTCTCATTAGATTTGGCCTGATTATTTACATAAGTGCAGCAAGAATGGTAATTGATCACATAGAACCTTTTGAGTTTGCTTTGCTGGAACTTCTCATAGGAATCTGATATGGTTTGGCTGTGTCCCCACCCAAATCCCACCTTGAACTGTAATAATCCCCACGTGTCATGGGAGAGACCCAGTGGGAGGTAATTGAATCATGGGAGCAGGTTTTTCCTGTGCTGTTTTCATGATAGTGAATAAATCTCATGAGATCTTATGGTTTTACAAAGTGCAGTTCCCCTTCACACATTCTCTTGCCTGCTGCTATGTAAGATGTGCCTTTGCTCCTCCTTTGCTTTCTGCCATCATTGTAAGGCCTCCCCAGCCATGTGGAACTGTGAGTCCATTGAACCTCTTTCATTTTTAAATTACCCAGTCTCAGGTATGTCTTAAAGAGTCTAAGACAGAATCTCATATTAAATCTCATATTAAAAGCCTCTGGAGAACTTGCCACCAAACTTCCCCTGCAATATCAATAGACTGGGTAAATTTCTCTCTTCTTAGGGTCACCAAATATCTTTAGGTTTTTAGGCCTGCCAGGGAATGACATCCGTAAGGCTAGAACACTATAAACTGGGTACCAGGCCAGATGTTTCCAAGACAGCTTTATAAGCATTGGTTCCATAAAGTCAACCATAGTTTCTTAAATCAGATTCTATGCACATCATTATTTTATTATTATTTTCTTTTTAGAGGTGGCATCTCACTGTGTTGCCCAGGCTGGTCCTGAACTCCTGAGTTCATGTGACCCTCCCATCTCAGCCTCCCAAAGTGCTGGGATTACAGGTGTGAGCCATCACATCCAGCCCTATGCACATCATTCTTAAATAGGAGATGTCACTCAAAGCCTTGGTAATAAATAACCAATGTTTACAATAGTGTCATATTACAAGACTAGATTCTTATTGAACTGGGGCAAATAATTATATTGCCATGAAAATACAAATCAAAAACACATCCTATTTCCCTGCATACTTTTCATACAGTGTTGTTCCCTTATTATTTTCAATAGGTTTATTGACATATATTGATTGTAATTTTAACCATTAGTAATCTCCTTTTACAGAGAAAACTAAGGGTTAGTAAGGGGTAGACAATTATGAGTTATCTGTCATAAACAAGCATTCTGTAGCAGACTAACAAATTTTATGAAGATACCATCTCACATGTCTTTTTTTTTTTGAGACAGAGCCTTACTCTCTGTTGCCTAGGCTGGAGTGAAGTGGCAGGATGAGGGCTCAATGCAGCCTCAACATCCCAGGCTCAAGCGATCCTCCCACCTCAGCCTCCCTAGTGGCTGGGACTACAAGTGTATGCCACCATATTTGGCTAATTTTTGTATTTTTTGTAGATAGGGGGTTTTGCCTTGTTGCCCAGACTGGTCTCAAACTCCTGGGCTCAAGCAGTCTGCCCACCTCAGCCTCCCAAAGTGCTAGGAATACAGGCATGAGCCATCATGCCCGCCTGCATCTCACACTTCTTATAGCACAACTTTTTATTTTTATTAACAGATCCAAATATTTTCAGTTTCTCTATACCATATAAAAATAAGAAGCCAAAAATATAAACTTAACTTGTGCTTAGTAATTAATACTTGAGTAATTTATCTTACTTAGAAATGATTAATATTTAATAAATATGTATTACTTAATTTAGCATTAAGTCTAAGGATTCAATTTACCAAAAAGAGTTTGGAAACTATTTTCAGACAGATATATTATAACATTAAACTAATATATCATCTCAAGTTATTTCCCTATTAACTATTTTTAACTTTATTTGGCTAGTAATCCCAAGTGGAATAAAAAGTATGCTCATACTATGTTTAATGCTGACAACGAAGAACACGCAACTATTTTTATTAAGCCAATAGTCTTAAACTAACCTTACTTACCAAAGATTTACCCACATCATGTGAAACTGAAAAACATTTGAGTTAGTTCCTATATTTCTGGGAGTTTTAGGAATATTTAGTTTATATAAGCACCCATTTATTTCTAATCAATTTGAATAAAACTCCTTTAAGGAATTTTATAAATTAATTTTGTAATACCATCCAGAGGTAAGAAAATATCACGTATACATAACATACATACATAGACATACATGCAACTATTCACCTTCAATATGAGGGCTAATATTTTTTACCCATATTTGTGGAGGAGACTTAAGATTTTCATTTGCCCTGATGTTTATGGACTACATTTTAGGTAAGAGAGTGAGGGGACATCAAACAGCTGTCTGGACATCTCCAAAGCCTGGCTGAGTAGATAAAATGTCTAGTCTATTTCCAATTAGCCTTTTCTTCTTCTTTTCTTTTGGCCACAGGTGGTTGCTGTTTGGGAATCCCTGCATCCTTTGAGAGTCCCCACTGGAGGCAGCGGGCCTAAAGCTCAAGTGGCTGTAGGCAGTTGAAAGGCTGCAGTGGGAAAGGAAAGGCCTGGCGGTGGGGGGGACAGAAGGCAGAAGCAGCAGGGACTCGAAGGGGTATATCAAAGTGCTCCCCTACAAGAGGACAGAAGGGGGATCAAAGGTAGTAAAGTGAGGGAAGGAGCAAAAGCAGTGGGAAAGGAGTGGTCTTAAAGGGGTCAGTTGGGTGCGAACTTATGTTTCCAAAAGAAGACAACGAAGTTCCACATTATCTTTAGTAAAATCGTGCCAACAAGAAGGAGATGGACAGAGGTGGCAAAGCATATAGTCAGCAGGGGTTAGGGAAGGTGGTTTCAGCCAACTGAGAAGTTCCTATGGAAGAAACAGGATCAAACAAAGCAGGCCTCACAAAGAGCCAGGAAACATTTTCCAATGCACAGTTAGGAAGTCAGACCCCACTTGAGAGAAATAATTGAGAAAAGAGACTTCCAGCCTAGAGAGTCAGGGAGTAATCCTCACTAAAGACAGAGTCAGGAAGAAAAATATCCAGCCCAGCAGGCACCTTTCAAACAAAGAAGCCTGGGCCCCTAGCCCAGCTTCTACTTGCCTAGGCCTCTTACCCAACGTCTGTGTTTTTGTTGTTGTTGTTTTTGAGACACAGTCTTGCTCTTTTACCCAGGCTGGAGTGCAATGGCACGATCTCAGCTCACTGCAACCTCTGCCTCCCAGGTTCAAGCCATTCTCCTGCTTCAGCCTCCCAAGTAGCTGGGATTACAGGCGTGTGCCACCCCGCCTGGCTAATTTTTATATTTTTAGTAGAGATGGGGTTTCACCATGTTGGCCAGGCTGGTCCCGAACTCCTGGCCTCGAGTGATCCACCCGCCTCGGCCCCGCAAAGTGCTGGGATTACAGGCGTGAGCCACTGTACTTGGCCCCAACTTCTGTTCATCTGGGCCTCTAACGCAGCTGTTAGAGAGTGTACTCAGACTTGTAAGAATCAAAATTTGCCCTTACTGTGCTTCATTTGTCCTGAGCAGTGGTTCAGGACTCTGACTCACCAGTGGATCCCTGATCAATCAGTCAGGAGTGAAGATACAGGCTTCAAAGGTGAGTACTTAACATCCCACCTTTGGTCTGGAGGGGTCCAATAATGAATCTGGCTCTACCCAAGTTGCGGCACCATAACTGTTAAAGATAAAATTATTCACACCACTTGTTAAAACAATAAGGGAGACTTTATTAAGGAGGACTGTGATAATGGGGCTTTTCGGTGGATGAGAGAGACTGGGCTTAACTCCAAATATAACAAGGAAAAGGAGAGATTTATAGCCAAGGAGCAGGGTGGGAGGTAGATGGTCAGAAAATTACTGAGATGGTAGGGTAAGTCTTTCCTAAATTGACCTAATAGGATTCTTGCTAAAGCCAGGCCAGGGTGATCACACATTACCTGGGGGATGTGGGGAATGAAGAAATTGGTCAGATATCAAGGGTGGAGGACTCTGGCTAAACTGACGTGACAGGATTCTAATTAAAATTGAACAATGCAAAGATGGACACAGAAATGCAGAAATCGAGGACTGGCTGGGAAGAGCAAGCAGAGAAGCCTGATTAAAGCACACGTATGTTTATTGCAGCACTATTCACAAAAGCAAAGACTTGCAACCAACCCAAATGTCCAACAATGATAGACTGGATTAAGAAAATGTGGCACATATACACCATGGAATACTACGCAGCCATAAAAAATGATGAGTTCTTGTCCTTTGTAGGGACATGGATGAAGCTGGAAACCATCATTCTCAGCAAACTATCGCAAGGACAAAAAACCAAACACCGCACGTTCTCACTCATAGGTGGGAATTGAACAATGAGAACACTCGGGCACAGGAAGGGGAACATCACACACCGGGGCCTGTTGTGGGGTGGGGGGAGCGGGGAGGGATAGCATTTGGAGATATACCTAATGCTAAATGACGAGTTACTGGGTGCAGCACACCAACATGGCACATGTATACATATGTAACTAACCTGCACATTGTACACATGTACCCTAAAACTTAAAGTATAATAAAAAAAAAAGTAGATCAAAAAAAAAAGTTTGATCAAGGAGAGACTCTCTGTCAAATCAAACACTGCTTTTGTGTCCCCCAAAATGTTTAAATACTCACTTTTTCTTAAAGACAAGAAAGGCATAACATTATTTTTAAGAGAAATACAGATACTTTATTAATTTCAATAACCCCCCAAACTTAAACATTGAGAACTATTTAATGCCTAACAGTATGGAAATCCTTAAAAAATTTTTTTTTAAATCTAGGTATCTATATTCAATTCTATGGAACATTATATTACCCTTAAAAATAATTATAAAATAGTATAAAATTATAAGAAGTACTTGAGACAATGTTTAAAAAATAAAGCAAAATATCAATTATGCAGCATTACATTCATAAAAAATAAAAATGTTCAGGGACAAAAATGTGAACAGTATATGCAAAATGAAAATTAATTGTTTGAAATGGTTAGTATTATGCACTGATCTTTTTTGAAAAAATTATCTTTAATCATTTTATTATGTTCTTCAGTTTTCAGAAGACCTTCAAAGTACCTGCCTTCTTTTCTTTTCCACTCACTAGGCTTATATAGATACTTTCCTAGGGAAATAGAGTGGCCCAATTTAGCAGAAAATAACACAAGATACATGGTCAAATTTGAATTTCAGATATGCAGCACATCACTTTTTTAGCGTTATTAACAATATGTTCCATGCAGTATTTGGGACATGCTTATATTAAAAAATTGGTTTTCTCCTCCCTGAAATTCACATTTAACTGAGCTTTCTGTGCTGTGCTTTTTCTGGCAACCCTATGGGGAAAGAATGCAATATCTTGATGAGCTGCACCCAGGGCCCCTGCGTCTTGGGAAGGGAGCTTGCAGGACATCTTCTCAGGTACCAAGATACAAAAATTATTTTTCCTACTCCACACTATATTGTTCTTTTCAACATTTTTACCATGGCCTGCTAGATGGAAAATGTCTCCCTCAGAGGATAGAAAGAGGCTGCAGGAAATGAAACCCATTAAATTATTTCAGAAGATATTTAGCACAGCTTTCACCTCAGCCTGGCCCACCTCAGCAAGACCTAGAGGGGAGGTGGGGAGGAGGCAGGGGGGCGGGGGAGAGGGGGGGTCTAGGAGTGCAAGAGGAGAAGAAAGTGCCCACAGTACCACAGGAGGGTAAAGAGACCCGCATTTCTTCCACATTGGCCTTAAAGGAAATAAAATTGTGGGCCCATTTGGATTCTTATAAAGCTGAAAATGTACCTGTCCAGGCTAGAGCCAATTTCCTATTACTGCCTCTAGGACCAAGCAGTAGTCCTAAACAGACTACTCAAGATTTCCAACAAGCTTGCTGCAGTGCCTAGTTCTAATATAAAAGTTCTGGAATCCAAAGCAATAATTTAGGAAACACCATAGAAAGCACCCAGTGAAAATCCTGTAATCTGACAGGTTTCGTTTGCATGGGAAATGGGACTGCTGCCTCCTGTAAACTCTCTCACCAGCAATGTGCAGAGTCACTCATGCTCCCTCGCTGGGACCTTTCTCTTGCCTGTCTCCCATCCTAGTCTCCTGCCCAGTCCCCATACTGCACTCCATCCACCCCCGATGAGAACAGCAGACCAAGGTCTCACATTGACCAGAGTGCCCTTGAAGGCCCCACCTGGAAACTGCAGTGCCTGAAAACTGCAGGTAATTTGAGCACCATCCCCTTCCAGGGTTTTCAAAATTTCAAATGAAAAATTTCCTCAGTGTGCTGCAGTTTTTCATTTCTCTATATAAACCCTCTCTGGTTTTCCACCCACCTCTGCTACTTGCCTTCAAAGCCCTAACTCTTAAGTGATTTGCTCCCACTAAATATGAACACATGTTGATAGCTAAGCCTCAGAATAGTCTTGGAAAATCATTCCTACTCCTTAGAGGCCCCACAGGCATTGTGGATAGTAGAAGCAACCTAGGATCTTGAGGCAGAAAGCCTGGATTTGAGTATTTGTTACCTGATCTTGGATGACTCAACCGCTTCAGATTCTTTGTCTGTTAAAACAGAATCCGATCCATCCTACTTATCTCATAGATGTGTTACATGGAAAACGTGGGAGGAAATGATGTCAGTGTGGTTTATAAACTGTAAACCTGCTGTGCTAATAATAGCATGCATTTATCAGTATTCATTATGTGCTAGGCACTGAGCTCTATGTGGCTTATCTCATTGAATTCTCACAAGGTAAATATTATTCCCATGACAGATGACTACGCCAAAGCACAGAGAACCTAAATGTCTTGTTTAAACATCATGCCAGCAGTAAATGGTGAACCTGGAATTTGAACCCAGGCCATCTCGCAGTTGAGCCTACTCACTTACCAACTACTCTGTGCTACTTCCCAGTATAGCAGACTCAAATCATTATTAGAAGCTGAGGCTGAAGCTGCTCCTGCCCTGGCCTCTCTGGGGTAGAAGGCAGTGCTGTTGCCATGGGCTCTCCTGTGACACTCCTTTCTGTATCTTTAACTGTGGATCCCTTTGTGAGGTTACCTTGGAAGAATCAGAACTATTTACTGCTTAAAAATGTCTTTTCTGGCTGGGCACAGTGGCTCACACCTGTAATCCTAGCACTTAGGGAAGCTGAGGTGGGCAGATCACTTGAGGTCAGGAGTTCGAGACCAGCCTGGCCAACATGGTGAAACCCCATCCCTACAAAAAAAAATAGCCAAGTGGCATGCCTGTAGGAGTCCTAGCCATTTGGGAGGCTGAGGAGGGAGAATCACTTGAACCCAGGAGGCAGAGGTTGCAGTGAGCCCAGATTGCACCACTGCCTTCCAGCCTGGGCTACAGAGTGAAACTCTGTCTCCAAAAAAAACAAACAACAACAACAAAAAAAAAACGCCTTTTCTTTGTCTACCTGTTAAGTTTCAGGGGACATATCTGATTAGCAGCATATACAAATTTGGATAATAAGCTGTGCCACAAGGAGTCCCGCTATTCCAAGACAGATAACAAAGCAGAAACAACTGAATATATAGTTGTGAATCTTTGGGCATTCCACTGGCAGCTGGGTGTAGCGTGGGATTTCTCAAATGTGAGTCAAGTACAGACGTGTTTTTAAGGAAAAAATATTCTCATTGATCATGAAAACTACATCTACCTGCCCCCAGTTTAAGAAATGCTGATGCATGGTTGAAAAGGCAACTCCAAACCTGAACTTAGGAAATCAATTCTTGTCCCACCTTCGCCACTACCCAGCCAGATCATTATTGTTGCCTCATCTGTAAAATGAGACAGCCTAGATCAGAGTTCAGAGGAGGCTGCAAATCCAAAATGGGTGGGCATGTGACCTAACAGTATCCAGACGTGGTGAAAGCAGTAGCAAGCAGCAACTCGACCCAACACACTGTGGCCAAGAGGCAATGCAGGCGCATTTGCTCTTTATCTTCTGATTTTCTGCCAGGAGCCTGGCATCCTTGTCTTTTTGCAAAAATCTACTGATTCTGAGTATTGAAACTAATACAACAATGTTTAAAACATTGGGAGAACCAAACCAAAGACACCTCGGTGAGCCAGAGCTATGTCCCGAAACGCACCAGTTTGACACTCGAAAGAGTTTTCAAACTAAGTCTACCTAAGTTTCTGTGGAGCTATTGTGAAGGCTGCGTGGTGATGTGGGGTGGCCAACCCTTCCCCTACGTCAACCAGAACAGTTCTATCTGCTTTTCTAGTGATACTCCACCAATCTAAGAAATGCTTCCGTGGCTAACCACTGGAATAGCTGATATTTAAGGGAACTTCCTGCTCTAAGATCCACGTGTCTGTCTACAACTGTAGAGGTAGATGTAGATAGAAAAGTCTTTATGGTAGGCTTGTTTCAAAGAAAAAAGAAACTGTTCCGTGGATCCAGAGGGCTGGAGCCAGGAGTGTGTCACCCCCTTGGAAGCATCACCTCAGTGCTGTGCTTCTGGAGGGCTCAGTTTTACTATGCACCTCTCCTACACCTTTGCCTTTCACCAAAAACTGAAGCATGAAATCACAGTTCTAGAAAGAAAGGCCCAGCTCTAAAGAAATACCAGGTTCAAACAGCCAGCCAGCCTGTCTCAGTCCCTCTCAAGTTCTTTGGGCTTATTTAGCAGCAAATGGTGGTGGTTCTTTCCTGAAAATGGTTCTCTGAAAAGCAATTTGTTTCCGAATGTAGCTCAACCTCCCCCTGCTTGTAAGTTGTTCTTAGATCTTTCACTGCCCGTGTGTGTATTCTGTGGAGAAAGAGGCTGTCATGTTTAGAGTGCACGCAGCAGTGAAGCTGAAAGGGACATAATAATGCAAGGGTTTGGGAGCCTCCCTTGGAAATGTGTGAGGGAGTTTTTGCTGCATTCTCACAGTTGAAAGGATGTGGGGTGTTGACAATCCTGGCAGACTCGAGCTCAACAGATGAAAACTGCTGCTTGGATATGGCAGGGAACCGGTGTGTGTGTGTGTGTGTGTGTGTGTGTGTGTGTGTCAGACTTGTCTACCTTCTTTCTTTTACCAATAATTCAAATGTTTCTACAATTATCTTACCACATTATTAAATCCCTAAACTGACAGTGGGAGATTTCTTTAGGATAGTCTAAGGAAACCGAGGTGGATATAACAGAATGAAAATGAAGGAAAGCAATACAAAGACGTTATCAGGAAAATCTCTCGAATGTCACAAGATGATTCTTACTACAGTTTCTCAAAGAGAAATGCCTCATAGAGAATGAGGTGGAACTGAGATGAAACCATTCCACAGATTGCATTTACAAAGGGCTTTATGTCGAGAGAGCAGGAGAAAAAAGTAAAGGACTATGTGATGTTTTCTAAAACCCATCCATGCCTCTAACACTCATCTCTACAAATCCGGAAATCGCAATTAGTGAGATTTTCCGGGATTTGTTTCACTTCCTATGACCCCTCATCCTTCTCTTGAGAGGGAAGATGTATTAATTCCCTGCATCTTCTTTCCGTTTGATCCACTTTATCATGAGGTGGACACTGTTCCAGCACTGGTCTGATATTCTTCTGTACTTTAGTGTCTTTCTCTCTGGCTGAGTGAAGTTACAAGCCTGCATAGATGTCACTAACTTTCCTGAGGGTCTGTCCACATCATGCTTTGATTTTGTTTTTATTTTTGTTTTTGAGACGAAGCCTTGCTTCGTCTCAAAGGAGATTCAGATAAATACTGTCACCCAGGCTAAAGTGCAGTGGCACAATCTCAGCTCACTGCAACCTCCCCCTCCTGGGTTCAAGTGATCTTCCTGCCTCAGCCTCCCAAATAGCTGGGATGACAAGCATGTGCCACCACGCCCAGCCAGTTTACGTGTTTTCAGTAGAGATGGGGTTTCACCATGTTGGCCAGGCTGGTCTCGAACTCCTGACCTCCTGATCCACCCACCTCGGCCTCCCAAAGGGCTGAGATTACAGGCGAGAGCCACCGCACCTGGCCAGGTTTTTTTTTCTTCAGAGGAGCTCATATGAGTTTGGGAATAGAAACACAACAATAATGCCTTTGATAACTTTCTGTAAGAAAATCCCCTCCCACACTGCCGCACACTTTTCACTCTCAAAGGCTTTGAACTGTTGTGTTTCTAAATGGGATCAATGGCATGACCTTTCTTTGCTCTTAACGCACACCCATAATTACAGGTAGTCTGCAAAGCAGGGTCTCCGCCTCTCTTTTCTGTCTGTTCAGGATAAACAATGCTTTAAATGCACTATTAGCCTGTCATGAAGTGGAGCTCAAATATGAAACATCAGTGGCAGCTCTAACTCAACCTGCATGACTTCTGTGTTCCTGTATTGTGTGCTTTAAGTGTAAACTCAAGCACAGACGTTGCTGATAAAAGCACTATTATTTAGATGTTCATTGGCTGACCCTATATATTAGATGTTCTTTTGCCATTTCACACAAATTGATGTTTTGACAGGTGCCATTTTATTTGGTTGGCAGGACTTCACCGTTTTTCTCTTCAGCCCTCTCCGAATAGCTACAAAGGTACAGATGCCAAGCTAATATAATAGGTAGATTTGTTGGCCAGAGGTGATTGTCAGAAGCCAAAATTGACAAGTTCTAGAAAAGACCCTAGCAGTGTGTGCATAAGCTATTTCATGGTATTTTATTTCATAAGGTGGTTTTAATGTAGTTTAATTAATTCTTTTTCTTTCCTCTGATGAATTATTGATCTCTCAGTCTTGAAATGGAGATTCAGATAAATACTTGGCAAAGCAGATTTGATGACCCTTTCTGTTTTACTATAAGGAGGACATCCATCCTCTTTATAATCGCTCTGTGGGCTTCGCTGAAGTATTATTTAGTAGCCTCTCTGGAAAAACACAACACTCTCTTTTTGGGTATAATACCCGGCAGAAAACTTATATTTCCTTCTTTCTGTTGATATAAGGAGGTGAGTTTCATGGAAGACTATAGTTATTTGGACAATTCTTGGCCTCCTCAATTGATTTAAGACAAAGAAAATAGGTATATTTCGTTAGTAATATCTGTGGCGACTAAACTTTTCTGAGTTTCCTTCCTAAAAGAACATTTAGGGAACGTAGCACCCCTCCTCCACCTTTTTAAAAAAGCTTTTTCTCAACAAGAAGGTGCTGCCATTTGTATTATGCCATTTAGGTACTTAATTTCTATATTCAAAGCTGGATGTTGAACTAAGCTACCATGCACCTGCTACACTCTCATTTGCCCTCATTATCTTAAGGATATGGTTGGGATATGGTCATGCTTGTAGAACTTGATGAACTTCAGATCTCTCAGAGGCTGTGTTTTTTATACATGTCCCCCATCAGCCTCCCTCAACCTTTGTTCAGGTTCTTTTGACGGGGCTGTGTGATGCCTGTCTGCATTCTGCCCTTCGCCCCTGACGAATTCATTCAGAAGAAGTCAGAGTTGCTGTTCAACCGAGAACATAAAGAGGCTCTTCTCCCTTGGAAACCACTGTGTACCTTTGATTCAGATCTCTCTCAATCTGCCCTAGGAACTTCTAATAAAAGAATTAGGAGGAATGTTGACATTCTCTGTGTCTGGAAAGGCAGGAGGGCCACCAAAGAAAGAGAACCTATGAGGAAGTGCAGCATAGGCAGTAGGGCACTGCCCAGACCACCTCCTCAACCCCCCACTTCATGAAGGACATGCCTCGTCAGGGATTTCTCAGCTGTGGAGAACTCCCTTGACCGAGGTCACCCCCCTTCCCAGAGTGGCCCACATGGAATAAAAAGGCCGGGCCATCTAGGCCCACCTTGGGACGCTTCTGAAGGGCCATTTCCACTCCAGTGCGCCCCACGGGCAGGGGCTGTGGTGATGCCTGCATGACAGCTCAGCTTCTTCTGCCCACACCTTCCACAGATGTTGATCCTGAGGGCAGTCCCTAATCAACACCCTGCACACTAAACTCTGGGGGACCCACCCTGTGACAGAGTGCTTATTTGGAAAAGGGAAGGGACATTATCATGATCTGCTGTCTTCTATATCATTTCCAGATGCTGGTCTGTTATCACTAACAATAATTACCACTAACCTCTCTGGTAAGGAGACAACACCGAAACAAAACTGGACTGAGAATAAGCTCATAGCAAAGGAGGAAAATCAAAAGTTTTTACCTCATCAGCAGCATCAATGACGTGAAATTGCCAGGCATTTCACCTCTATTACTTCAGTTAACTCTCACAAACATTTGATAAAGCAGATCTTATCCTCATTCTGTGAATTAGGAAACCGACCTGGAGACGGAGAATAACTTGACTAGACCACAGGGATCAAATGCATTTAAGCCTCAGTCTTCTGCCTCCAAACCCCAGCTAAATGTTGCTGTATTCAACATATAGTTAAATAATGCCTTACACATGTACCTTTTGAAAACTGGGCCTTGCCTGCAAAAGATATTGCTTTCAAACAAAGTTATATTGTACTATACTGGTGTAAAGTTTATTTTGTGGTTTAAGACAGTATCTAATAAAGTCTGTGTAACGTGGAGTTTGAATCAAGTTGAGTCCTCTAAAATCCATTGAATAGAGAGGCTGAAACTCTTAACAGTTTTGTATTCTGTCTCTCTGTTTCTTCTGTTTTCTAGTATTAATGGACAGACTGTGTATGAGGATAGATTAGCATTTTCGAGAACGATTTCATCAAAATGCAGCTCAGTCCTTTGACTCCTGCTAGCAGGTTTCCTGGACCCTATGGTAGGCATTTTATGTCCCTCCTTCACCCCTGGCTTCCTCTTTATCCTTTGTTGTTGCTTTGTCCTCATTTCCCCCATTACTTACATATTTGTTTCATCTTTTAACCTGCTGTTTATGTTGCTCTCAGCTGTTTCAAATCCTTTTTAGAAAGTCATTTCCATGTTCTGCATTACTTCACCTCATCTTTTCCCTGTAAGAAAGGTACCAGAATAATAGCTTCTTAATCTTCTAGAAACCACACGGATATCTGAGCCAGCATGGTAGAGGGGTCATAGTTATGCTTCTCCCACACATTTGTTAATATTAGGGAGGCAGAGTTACACAGCGTAACAAGCCTAGGATTTAGAGTCAAATGGACAGGGGCTCAAATCCCAGCCCTACCAATGAATGCTTTGGGCACATTCATCTTTGTACACATTAACCTCTCTGAACATAAAATAACACAACTTGAAATGTTGGGTAGAGTAAGTAATGTATTTGAGGCATCGGAAGTTGTTCAATAAATGGGCCCTGTCATTTTCACTAGATTTTAAGCCCCTCGTGGGCAGAGAAGGCGCCAATTCAACTCCAGCCTCTCAAATCATGCCTGATAGTATTAAGTGTACTCTAAAGTAATGATGCATCACTGAATGGCTGTGAATGACATTGTGGTGCAGGGAGAAGAGCGATGGATTGTGAGCTCTGCCATTAGCCAGTTATATGGCTGTTGGAAGCCTTGTTAGGCCTCTATTTCTTAAGAAGTAAAGTGAGGTATAACTGGATCATTTCTGTGATCCCTTCCAGGTTTAAGGTTGATGATTTTATGGAGTCTGACAAATGTTTGGTCCCAGAGATGGGTAGGATAGATCAGAGATGTCCCCATCTTCTCTCTCTCTCTCTCTCTCTCTCTCTCTCTCTCTCTGCTTCACCAGACATTGGCTGTGTACTGAGCTTAACTTTGCCTAAGGCTGCCTCTCACTGAGCTCTGCAGGAGAGGGAAGGGAGACTCCCAAGGATCACCAATGGCAGCAACAAGAGAGCTTCATCCCCCTATCACAGCACCTTTGAAAGGGACAGAAGCCCTAATACCAGCCAAGATTGTGTATTATTCTGATTGAATTTGCTGGCCCAAAGGAAACCTGAAAAACACTGAAGGAAGCTTAGGAAGCTCCAAAAAGGAGAGATGGCCTTTTCATTAAAGGTGATTAACTTTGAAGATAAGAACTTTGTTCATTAGTCTGGAATCACAGATGTTTTCAGATTTCTGTTTTCTCCTGGCAAAATTCCTATACTAGCAAATCTGGTAACTTCTGGTCAGGTGATATGGATATAAAAGACCTAAGAGTCAGGCAGGCTTCCGGTATGAATTGTAGGTATTCATTGTACAATTCCCTCAACTTCTCTGTATTTTGCAATTTTTGAATCCTTGCAGGATCTCTTGTAATCTACATGACTTCAGATAGGTTAACCACATTCTGTAAGCGTTGGTTTTCTCACCTGTTAAAGAAGAGGGTGGGGGTAATAATACCTACATCTTAGAGTGTTGTGAGGAATATGTAAAGTATCTAGCATATAAACATTTAAGAAGAAAATATTAAGGTTGGCCCTCAAATAATGCAGGAGTTAGGTGTGCCAACCTCTCTGCACAGTTGAAAATCCTTATATAATTTTTAACTACCCCCCCCCCAAACTTAACTATTAATAGCCTACTGTTGACTGGGAAGCCTTACTGATAACATATACACTTGATTAACACATATTTTGTATGTTATATTTATTATAGACTATATTCTCACAATAAAGTAAGCTAGAGAAAACTTTATTAAGAAAATCATGAGGAGAAAATATATTTGTTCATTAAGTGGAAGTGGATCATTGTAAAGGTCTTTATCCTCATTGTCTTCATGTTGAA
This sequence comes from Homo sapiens, assembly GCF_000001405.40. Taxonomy (NCBI): domain Eukaryota; kingdom Metazoa; phylum Chordata; class Mammalia; order Primates; family Hominidae; genus Homo; species Homo sapiens. Next base: position 15,727,942 of record NC_000006.12, on the reverse strand, counting down.
TAGGCTGAGGAAGAGGAGGAAGAGGAGGGTTGGTCTTGCTGTTTCAGGGGTGACACAGGTGGAAGAGGTAGAGGAGGTAGAAGAGGAAGCAGTAGAGGCAGGCACACTTGGTGTAACTTTTCTTGAAAAAAATCCACATGTAAGTGGACCTGTGTAATTCAAATCTGTGTTAAGGGTCAGCTGTAATAGATGTTATTCCTAATCATAGGGGCTAGGCTATGTTTTTGACCCACAGTGAAATGGTGGATAAAATAGAAACATCCTGCCTCTGTCCTCTCCCTGGCCATGTTGTAACATAAAATATCTCTGCCTCCCTCACACCTGCCACACCTCCAGGAACTCTCAGCCTTTGGAAAAGGTATAAATACCCTGCAACAATGCAGCCTGGTGCTGAAATCACCTCCTGGAAGTCTCTTAGGCTTTTCTGATTCATAACTCAGCTTTTTGGATTTGTTCATTGTTTTCCTTTTATCACTTGGTTGCTTTAAGTTTTGTTCTAACAGCTTATTTCCAGCAAGTCACTCCCAACTGGGGGCACCTGGCAGACCCAACTGATCCCCAGTGTGTGTTGGGACAAGACTAGGACCTCTCCCTCTCCCTCTCCCTCTCCCCATGGTCTCCCTCTCCCTCTCTTTCCACGGTCTCCCTCTCATGCCGAGCCGAAGCTGGACTGTACTGCTGCCATCTCGGCTCACTGCAACCTCCCTGCCTGATTCTCCTGCCTCAGCCTGCCGAGTGCCTGCGATTGCAGGCATGCGCCGCCAAGCCTGACTGGTTTTCGTATTTTTTTGGTGGAGACGGGGTTTCGCTGTGTTGGCCGGGCGGGTCTCCAGCTCCTAACCACGAGTGATCCGCCAGCCTCGGCCTCCCAAGGTGCCGGGATTGCAGACGGAGTCTCGTTCACTCAGTGCTCAATGGTGCCCAGGCTGGAGTGCAGTGGCGTGATCTCGGCTGGCTACAATCTCCACCTCCCAGCCTCCTGCCTTGGCCTCCCAAAGTGCGGAGATTGCAGCCTCTGCCCGGCCGCCACCCCATCTGGGAAGTGAGGAGCGTCTCTGCCTGGCCCCCCATCGTCTGGGATGTGAGGAGCCCCTCTGCCTGGCTGCCCAGTCTGGAAAGTGAGGAGCGTCTCCGCCCGGCCGCCATCCCATCTAGGAAGTGAGGAGCGCCTCTTCCCGGCCACCATCACATCTAGGAAGTGAGGAGCGTCTCTGCCCGGCCGCCCATCGTCTGAGATGTGGGGCGCGCCTCTGCCCCGCCGCCCCGTCTGGGATGTGAGGAGCGTCTCTGCCCGGCCGCGACCCCGTCTGGGAGGTGAGGAGCGTCTCTGCCCGGCCGCCCCATCTGAGAAGTGAGGAGACCCTCTGCCTGGCAACCGCCCCATCTGAGAAGTGAGGAGCCCCTCCGCCCAACAGCCGCCCCGTCTGAGAAGTGAGGAGCCTCTCTGCCTGGCAGCCACCCCGTCTGGGAAGTGAGGAGCGTCTCCGCCCGGCAGCCACCCCGTCCGGGAGGGAGGTGGGGGGGTCAGCCCCCCGCCCGGCCGGCCGCCCCTACTGGAAAGTGAGGAGCCCCTCTGCCCGGCCAGCCGCCCAGTCCGGGAGGGAGGTGGGGGGGTCAGCCCCCCGCCCGGCCGGCCGCCCCTACTGGAAAGTGAGGAGACCCTCTGCCCGGCCAGCCGCCCAGTCCGGGAGGGAGGTGGGGGGGTCAGCCCCCGGCCTGGCCAGCCGCCCTGTCCGGGAGGGAGGTGGGGGGTCAGCCCCCCGCCCGGCCAGCTGCCCCGTCCGGGAGGTGAGGGGCGCCTCTGCCCGGCCGCCCCTACTGGGAAGTGAGGAGCCCCTCTGCCCGGCCACCACCCCGTCTGGGAGGTGTACCCAACAGCTCATTGAGAACGGGCCAGGATGACAATGGCGGCTTTGTGGAATAGAAAGGGGGGAAAAGTGGGGAAAAGATTGAGAAATCGGATGGTTGCCGTGTCTGTGTAGAAAGAAGTAGACATGGGAGACTTTTCATTTTGTTCTGTACTAAGAAAAATTCTTCTGCCTTGGGATCCTGTTGATCTGTGACCTTACTCCCAACCCTGTGCTCACTGAAACATGTGCTGTGTCCACTCAGGGTTAAATGGATTAAGGGCGGTGCAAGATGTGCTTTGTTAAACAGATGCTTGAAGGCAGCATGCTCGTTAAGAGTCATCACCACTCCCTAATCTCAAGTACCCAGGGACACAAACACTGCGGAAGGCCGCAGGGTCCTCTGCCTAGGAAAACCAGAGACCTTTGTTCACTTGTTTATCTGCTGACCTTCCCTCCACTATTGTCCTATGACCCTGCCAATTCCCCCTCTGTGAGAAACACCCAAGAATGATCAATAAAAATAAAATAAAATAAAATAAAATAAAGACTAGGTGAACAGCAAGTTTTAAGTGCCTCCTGGCTTTTAGATTCCTAAAAGGGCCCCTAAAGAATAGTTTCTTACAAAGAAGTAAAATCCTTTTTGTAATTAATTGGTTCATTAATGTGTTCCCTATAGATGTAGTGACAAATATCAGGGATGTTAAACCCCATTGTTTTAAGTGGCCCAGCAGACTTGGCCTATTTTGTCAACCTATGCATAAGATAAGTCCTCCTTTCACAGTCTTCAAATTAAGACCCTAGCTTGACAAGCCATTCTTTGCCAAACACTCTACTTTTCGTCTGGTGTGACTTACAGTTTATATGCCTAGATAGCTAATACTAATTGTGCCAGGTATGAAACTAAACACTTGCCATTTAATGACATGCAACATTCCTAGGAGTTAGTTGCTATTGTCACCCCACTTCACAAATGAGGAACTTGTGCTTAGCTCAAGCAGATGCAACTTGTTAAGACGCAGAATTGGGATTTGAATCTAACAGCAAAGTCCAATTTAGAAAGTTTGCAGGGCATTCCAACCTTTTTTGAGCCATAGACCTCTTTAGTAGTCTCATGAAGCTTATGTTCACCTTCTCAGATTCATGTTTTTAAATTAAAAAAAAAATTAGAAATTACAAAGGAAACCAATCATATTGAAATACAGTTATCAGAACGATTTAAAAAACAAATGTGTGATACAGTAATGTTATTAACACATTGAATAGCAAGATATAGTGGCAGTTTCTGGGTATAAACAATAAATTTCGAGATAGTTGCAACAAACGAAATGTGCTACAAAAGTATCTGTGAATTCTATTGGTGATGGGTACTCCAAAAACTACTGGGGATAGTCTCCTGCATTCATAACTGAAGAAAATGCTAAATTTCTCCTTAAAAGTTAGGGGAAATAAAAATGTAATTTTTTCTGGCTGGGTATGGTGGCTCACGCCTGTAATCCCAGTGCTTTGGGAGGCCGAGGCGAGCGGATTACTTGAGGTCAGGAGTTTGAGACCAGCCTGGCCAACATGGTGAAACCCCGTTTCCACTAAAAACACAAAAATTAGCTGGGTGTGGTAGAGTGCGCCTGTAATCCCAGCTACTTGGGAGGCTGAGGCAGGAGAACCACTTGAACCCAGGAGGCGGAGGTTGCAGTGAGCCGAGATTGTGCCACTGCACTCCAGCCTGGGCAACACAGTGAGACTCCATTAAAAACAAAAAAAAGGCCGGGCGCATAGGCTCACACTTGTAATCCCAGCACTTTGGAAGGCCAAGGCAGGCAGATCACAAGGTCAGGAGATTGAGACCATCCTGGCTAACACGGTGAAACCCCGTATCTACTAAAAATATGAAAAACAAAAAATTAGCCATGGTGGCGGGTGCCTGTAGTCCCAGCTACTCGGGAGGCTGAGGCAGGAGAATGGCATGAACTCAGGAGGCGGAGCTTGCAGTAAGCCGAGTTCGCACCCCTGCACTCCAGCCTGGGTGACAGAGTGAGACTCTGTCTCAAAAAAAAAAAAAAAAAAAAGATGTGATTTTTTTATCATCCTAGTTTGTGGGCTCCCTGAAGTCTCCCTATGGACCCCAGGCTAGGAACTTATATAAAGAGACTGAATCTTAAAAATAATTTAAGGCTTGAAGACCTGCATTATCCTTCATTTGTTCTACATGCATGTATGAGCACCTGCTAAGTGCTAGGCATTGAGCTTAGAACTTGGTATATGAGAGTTGAATATGATTCTGGACCTACTTTCATTGCCTACTAAGGGAATCAAATGTATAAACTAATAATACACATTGACAACATAGACCAAGATATAAGCAAAGTATTGTGGATGCACTTGTTTATGATTTCTAAGGGTAAGCTATTGTCTGTCCCCTCCCTCTGTCTAAGCAGTCTGAAATAAACTTCTGTAATTACAATCACTTTTGTCTCTTCTTTCATTGATCAAAAATGCTTTCCAGTATGCATCCATGCTAAATTTGGGGGTCTTCCAATTAGTTGCTCTATTAGTTAGGGTCTGAGTATCTAAAAACAGGATAGTCATTGTAGGGAATCAGTTACACAGATGGTGGGAGAACTGAGAAGACAATAGGGAACTGTGAGGCAACTGAGACATTAGAGATGGAAGCCATTAATACCCATAGGCTGGAAGAACAAAGGGAGGAGGTCATGTTACCAGAGTGCAGACACTAGGATAGCCCACTGAAAGCTGAAATTACAGTGAGCCAGCATTCAGCAGGAGTTGGAGCCACAGGAAATACACAGCCATGGCAAAGAGAGGAGAAAAAATTACCTTAGCTTCACCCTTTTTCCCATCTTCCAGTCTCCCTACCAGTACCTCCCATTGGACAAACCTAACTGGGAAACGTGAGAGCCTGAGAGGTACAGGCTGTGGGAGTCGTCCCCTTGTATTATAGAGCAGAGCTGGGGGAAAGCAAGAGGTGAATCAAAAGGCAAACAAGCCCCAAGCCAGCATAGTTGCATTCCCTGTTGACATGCAGTGCTACTTCCTGTCTCTTCTCCTAGACTATGACTTTGAAAAGTTATACCTCTGATATGGTTTGGCTGTGTCCCCACCCAAATCTCATCCTGTGGTTCCCATAATGCCCACATGTCTTAGGAGGGACCCAGTGGGAGGTAATTGAATCGTGAGGGCGGTTACCTCCATGCTGTTCTCATGATAGTGAGTTCTCAGAAGATTGATGGTTTTTTAAAGGGCTTTCTTCCCCTTCACTCATTTTTCTCCTCCCTGCCACCAGGTAAAGAAGGATGTGTTTGCTCCCACTTCCACCATGATTGTAAGTTTCCTGAGGCCTCCCAAGCCATGATGAACTGTGAGTCAATTAAACCTCTTTCCTTTATAAATTACCCAGTCTTGGATATGTCTTTATTAGCAGCATGAGAATAGACTAATACAACCTCTTTACAGATATACCTGTTAAATTTAGTAGTATTGATAAAATAGAATTTTACCTAGTGGTTGAATTTCAAGCTCACTCTTTTTGTCTTTACTGTGTGTATTGGTATTCACAGGAGGGTGTAAATATCTCCCCAAAACACCTCTTGTTTCCTTATTGAGTTACAGAAACTTCTTTTACTACTAATCTTTCTTTGTCATATTCATAATTCCAGATTTTTGGTTCTCACACCTCAAATTTCAATATGACATTACTTTATCAGCCATAACCACCAGCCAAATTATTGGTGTTCAAAAGCCAAACTCCATACACAAAGTTAAATCTTATTCTTTTATACCATTTCTATGGCAAATGTTTACTTCCAACATCTTCATTTATCTTGCACATTCAAGATCTTCAATGAAAAAGAAAAAATAAAAGAAAGAAATGTAACCACCACCTGTGATCCATTCACTTCTTTAGTTTCCTAACAGGGGCATCAGAGTTGTTGAAGATATATTCCACATTACTTCTAATGGCCAAGTTATTCCATCTGAGTCTCTATTGGCTTTCCATTAAGTCTCAGATACACCCCCCAACCTCTGTTGAACTGACACAGATCTACATTTGGTTACCTCCAGACCTATTAGCGAACACCAGAGACCTTATTTCTTCTTGTGGAGGTCTGAAGGGGATTTCTCAAATCTGCTAGTGCTGAAGAATCTTTAAGTTTCTCCAGAACCTTAGGTATTATTCTCTTTCTGAATATCTGAAATAACCCACTATGGGGCAAAGTTTCCTTCTGTCTTATACCTATACCTCGAAGCATGAATTCTCAGTGGAGGTAACATTGCCTCCAAGAGGGAAAAAAATTGTTCTTGGTGGGGAGGGAAGAATAGGGGAAAAAAACTTAGATTTTTAAGTTTGGGAATCCTCCAAAGCTCAACCCTATCTGAAAACATCTTATTCCTTAGTATTTAATTTCTCTTGTTGGAGAAAAATTGCATTTAATTTTAAACTTAAATAATTCATTGATTTAATTTTTCTCCTTTAGGGGAAATAATAATCTTTTTTAGGTGGAGAAACACTGCCCCAAAGGATAAAGAGTACTTTCTTCTTGCCTTTCACCTCCTTGATACATTTAATAGAATTTTTCACTTCGCTTATGAAGTTTTCTTCCTGGCTTTCTTCATGTGTTAGTCCTTTCATCTTACTTAGACACTTTTTGACAACTAGAACTATGGATTCTAGTTGTAAACAATAAAAATTAATCTTGGTGGATTTGACCAACAAAAAAATCTTATTTATAGATTATTGGGATCTTAAGAAATTTTCCAAATTACATCAAAAAAAGTTTAAAAAACTAGAAAGAATGATTTGATAAAGAAGACAAAGCAGAAATTTATGAAAATAAAAATGAACAAAAACAGATAAATCCAAAAGCTAGTTCTTTGAAAGAAATAATAAACACCTCTAAAACCATAGATACAGGAGAGATTAAACATATTATAAATAACTATTACATACAACTCTATGATGAAACATTTTTAAATCTAGAAGAAATAATTTTCTAGCAAAAATAAAATTAGAAAACCCAGTAATAAAAAGAAAGCTTGAAAGAAACCAGTTACCATAGCAGATATTGGAAAATAATTTTAGATCCATCACTGGACGAACAAAGCATCCAGATTGGATGGTTTCGCAGCTGAGTTTTAACCTCTTAAGAACAGGTCATTCCAATGGCATCTAAAATATTCCAGTCCTTATAAAAAGATGAAAACTCCTCCAATTTATTATGAAAACTAAATAACTTTAATAATAAACCAGGAAAATTATTATGAAACAATAAAATTTGGGATTAATCTCATGCGTATAGAAATTCTATCTTTTTTTAAGGAGCAGGATAACAGGACTGAATCCAGAAATTATGACATCTAAATAAAACCTTAACAAATAAAATCCAGCAACATATTGAAAGAAATGAAACAGTATACATTTTAAAATTAAAAATAATAAATCAAGACTTACTGTGTAAATTAACATGTGAATGAGTATCAAAAAGTCTGTTAACATTATTACATAAGTAAACTAAAGGGAAAAAGGCAAATGCTTATGTCAATAGATGGAAAAGGTCATTTGATAAAATGTATCACTTAATCTTTGTAAAAAATCAAAGTCAGACAGAGGTAGAAGGAAATACGTATAATAAAGACTAATTGCCAAAAATTAAAACTGAATAGCATACTAAATGATAAAAGACTATAACTATTTCTATTAAAGTCAGAAACTAGATTAGCATTATTTAACATTGTCTTGGAAATTTTAGCAATTGAAAAAAGATTTAAAAATGAAATAACATAAACGTTGGAAAAGAAAAGGTAGAAATAGAAAATCCAAGGGACTCTATTACAAAAATATTATTGGGCTTAGCAAGAGAACTAGGTAAGGTGGCTGGATAAAAGATAAGTGTACAAAAACCAGTAATCTTTGTACTGGAAATAAAAATGGATATGAGAAAAATTCATTCACAATAAAGATAAAAACTTTAAAATGCTTAGGAGTAAATTTTAAAATCAGAGTATAGGAAATTATAAAAATCTTGATATAAACTAAGATATGCACAAATAGAAAAGCAAACTATGACTCTGGATGGAAAAAATGTTAATATAAAAATGTCAATCTCTCTAATTAATATGTAAACTTAATAAAATTCCAGTTAGAATTCCAACGGGGTTCTTTCTTGGCAAAGGGGAAGAAAGGAGGAAAGGATAATTAAATAAATGATCTTAGAGTTTATACCAGGGGATAAGTACCTAAGAATAACCAAGAAAAAATATGAAAAAGAAGGTTAGTGAAGGGGGTGAGGACATGCTTCAATAATTATAAGAACATACAATAATCTGCTTTAATAAACATTTTATTGGCATTGAACACAAAATGTAACAGGACAACCTGAAATTTAAATCCAATTACATATGAGAATTTAATATATGATAAGGATGGCATTTTATCTAAGTGGGAAAATAATGCATTATTTAATAAATGGTGGTGATACAAATAATCTAAGTGGAAGAAAATTAAATTAGATCTCTTTGTTTTACCATATATGAAGACAAATTTCAGGCTAAATGGCTAAAAGACTTAAATGTAGAATATTAACAACTTAAAATTCTGCAAGAAAATTTAGGAGACAATATGTGGACAAGATTGGAAAAACAGATGACACAAAATAAAAAATAGAGATTTTATCATAAATTTAAAACAATTTTATAGCTTAAAAACATAAGAGTCGGGCACAGTGGCTCACGCCTGTAATCCCAGCACTTTGGGAGGCTGAGCCGGGTGGATCACCTGAGGTCAGGAGTTCGAGACCAGCCTGACCAACATGGAGAAACCCTGTCTCTATTAAAAATACAAAATTAGCTGGACGTGGTAGCGTACGTCTGTAATCGCAGCTACTCGGGAGGCTGAGGCAAAAGAATCACTTGAACCCTGGAGGCAGAAGTTGCAGTGAGCCGAGATCATGCCATTGCACCGCAGCCTGGGCAACAAGAGTGAAACTCCATCTCAAAAAAAAAAAAAAAAACCTTAAAGAGTTATAAGCTTGGACAAGTACTTGCAATTCAGAGGACATATGAGGTTAGTTATACCATGCAAAAGTTTCTTTCAAATTAAAAGTAAGGAATAAACAAACAAAAACTTTGGCAAAGGACATGAAGAGACTGTTCATAAGAGGACAAATTCAAATGGTCAGCAACGTATGAGAAGATCAAACTTGCTAGCAGTTGAGAAAATGCAAATTAAAATAAAATTATAAGGTATCTTTTATTCCCAACAGAATGGCAAATGTTTTAAAGAATTATAATGCCTATCACTGGCAAAAATGCTAATTGATAGAAATGTTAATTATTTCGGCTTTTTGGGAAAGCAATCGGGCAACATCTATTACATTTAAATACACATGTACATGCAAACACACACACACATGCACACACACACCTCTTCTTAGTATATAGGGAAACAAAGAAAACCTCATATTTAATGGTAAAATTTTGAAAGCATTCCCTTCGAGATCAAAAACAAAACAAAGATTTCTGGTAAAACTTCTCTAATTAGCATTAATCTAGTTCCTAGTAAGAGCAGGTTAAATAAGGGAAGATTTTTTTGTTTTGTTTTTTGGTTTTGATTTTGTTTTTGTTTTTTGTTTAGAGACGGAGTCTCACTCTACCGCCCAGGCTAGAGTGCAGTGGTGCAATCTCGGCTTACTGCAACCTCCGCCTCCCGGGTTCAAGAATTCTCCTGCCTCAACCTTTTGAGTAGCTGGGACTACAGGCACCCGCCACCACACCCAGCTAATTTATAAGGGAAAGTTTTAAGAATTGTCAGAAAAGACTTTCATTATTTTTCAGATAAGAAAATTATGTCTAGAGAAATTGAAAGAATCCAGAGAAATTATAAGAATTAGAGAGTTTAGCAAATTTGCTTTACACAAAATTACTGTCTGTATAATGAATCTTATTTCTGAATACCAGCCACCAAATAATTAGAAAATAAACAATTTTTAATTTCTTATTTGTAGTAGCATTAAAAATAGTAGATGTCAAGGAGTAATCTACCAGAAAATATATAAGATTATGGAGAAAACTATAACATCTTTTAGAGAACTTAAAGACTACACAAATAGAGAGACAAGGTATTCTCATAGATTGGAATACACATGCCAGTTCTCCCCAGTTTAATAGATTTGGTGCAATCTCAGTCAAAACTCCAACAGATCTTTTTTTTATGAAACTCAACAAGTTGATTCTAAAATTTAAGTAAAAACACAAATGGCCAAGATAGTTAAAATCCTCTTGAAGAACAAAGTGAAAGGATAGCTCCACCAGATAGCAAGAATTTATAAATGTATAAAACCAAGAGAGTATAGTATTGGCTTAGAGATAGACAGACTAATGGAACAGAGCCCAGAAACAGAATTCATTATCAAGTTACAAGCTTTTTCTCAAGAATTATAACTTGTCCAGTGGGATGTGACTTTAAAACCCAAAGGACCTTCCCTGTAATTTTCCTACCAGACTTTTCCAAAGGGTCCATACGATATATTTTCTGCCACAAGCACTTTGAGCATCATTGGATCCTCTGGTAATAAGGGGCAAGGGGCAAAACCGCTTTGTATCAATGCCTTGACAAGTTGGAGAGATTTGCTGTGGGCCCCACTCAAAGCTAACAGCCTTGCTGGTCACCCGATAAATGAGTCCATATAATACCTTTGTATAAGGAGCAACAAATCCAACCATAATAGTTTAACCAAATAGAGGTTGATTTTTGTCACATACTAAGGAGTCTGGAGGTAGATTGCAACAGTGTGTCAGGATCCTTCTATCTTTCTGCTCTACCATCCTGCACTTATGATCTGTGCTCAGCTGATTTCTTTGGGTTCATGGGCACAGGATGGCTACCCCAGCTCCAGATAGGAGAAGGGAGGGAGATAGGAAGAGGTGGCACCTTTTCCAGAAATCTAGAGAGCATGTCACAGTAACCAGACTTTGATACTTGTTGATTCCTAGCTGCAAGGGAGTCTAATATTTTTAACTGGATACACTGCTGCCCAAACAGAATTGGGGTTCTGTTAAAAAGGAGAAATCCATATTGGTAAACAGTTAGTAGTTGTCTGCCATAGGATCCAAACGTGGTATGTATTATTTCCAAAATTCAAAAACACCTATAAAAGATGATCTTTCTCTTTATCAGTGGCATGAAGTGCGATGGACAGCTACTTCTCCTTCATTTTGTGGAAACTATTCCAACATTCTCCAGGCACTCTCACACACATGCATGCTCTGTCTCTGTCTCTCTTACACACACACACACACACACACATGGAATTTTACTAAGGTAACAGGCCCCATAATTTCATGAAATTTATTCGCCACCTTCTGACACACAGGATTTTCCGAGGCACCTAGTCTGCATGTTGCTTCCTGTTTCCAAGTTTATCAGTACAATGTCATTAGCTATAGTGAACCAGCTCCACATTCTGTGGACTGAATTTGAGATAAAGTCAGAAAACGGGCATAACCCTAAGGCATTGTGGTGAAAGGATATTGTTTACTCTGCCAGATGAAAACAAACTCCCTATGTCCCCCACTTACAGGGATAGAGAGAAAAAGCAAAGATACTCAGTGGGGATTCAAGATTCAGGATATTCTGAGTAAACTGGGTTGGATAACAAAGGCTGGTATATATGTTTGAAAACTGGTAAGAATGATTATTCGGATTTGGCTTAAGTTATTTAACTTGGTTTTATTTTTAAACCAGCAAACGGGAGTGCAAAGAACAAAATTTTAAAATTTGCCAAAAGTTGGTAGTCTCAGTAGTCCTCATGAAGTAAGGATTTTGATCTTCCATTTATACTGTCTTACTCTCTTGGAGACATGGAGGAATACATTTGTATTCAAGTGTCCATCTCATTAATATGGATATATTAGAGGAATATAAGAAAATTCCTATGTTCCGCAATTACACACTGCTGCATTCTATTTTTGAATTAGGTAACTGGGTCTTCTCGTGGTTTCACTGAGGCATGCCTGGCCATGGCCTACATGAATCATCTATGTCTTCCCATTCAAATTCTCCAGGCCCACTCTCCCGCAAGTCAGTGCTTCAACTTTCTCCTAAGAGACCAGCTGAGGATGTGAATTCAACTCTTTTTAATTCAGAAATTTTGGAGATCAAACTGTGCATTTTGTATTTGACTTTCTCCACATTTCAACAGCAAAAGATAAGATATTCTTATAATGATCCCAAGGAAGCCTCTGGATTTTAGCACATACTTTGAACTGAGAACTTAGGAATTTGTGTAGGTTTTTCTTTTTATTGAAGCTATCCATTACAATTAGGAGAAGCCATCTCATCCCACAGTCATTGAACTCCCTGTGTCCTTCGTATTATTCAATAGAATTGATCTCTTAGTTCCCCAAAGCTTGGCCTTCAATGGGCAATTCAGTCTAGGTGCACACAGGTGACAATTTGATTAACTGGTTCTCTAGATCATGACAAGAACCCTTAATCACACCAGCTGCATTGTCTTTGCCTTCAACCTCAATCAGGCCAGATAACAACAGTCCCATATTTCCGTATACATCCCATGTTTCTCTAAGGCCCTGTGGTCTGCAACCAATCCATTTCTGGTTCTAATTCCTGGATCATTTAGAGTTCTTAATTTCAAAAACTAGAAAAAAACTTTGTCTGATTGAAGCAGACAATGAATTTATGAATGACTATCACGTGGCTCACAGAATCGCTAAGAAGGCTGATGAGTCAAGTGTGTGGCTCGGCAGCCAGGAAAAGTACTCATTCAGAGACAGTTGCATAGGCAACAATCTAACTGGACACTGGGCTCTTCCAGCCCCTCTGGCACTGCTACTACCAAAGCTTGATCATTCTGCTGCCTTTGATACTGAGACACTGGAGAGTTTCTTATGGTTCCCTGACTTCATGACTTCATTTCATGAGTGGAATCCATGACTCACACCTGTAAGGAGAGGAGACTGAGTAAGCAAGTACCTGAGCCTTCTGTTTCTGTAGTGGAAGGTACATTCTGTATTTCACTGACACAAGGTGGGAAAATCCAAACATAGGAAAAGGTTTCATACTGGACGGCCATAAAGAAGGACAAGTGTTCACCTTGCCTTCTAATAAGCCAAAACAGGGAGAGAGGTTCAGGTTCCTTTGCCTTCCCAATAAGGAGACAAAATCACAACCAGTGAGAAGACAAATATGGCACACATCCTGGAGGTCACTGAAACACTTTTACAACTCTGCCTGTTTCCTGGGTCTCACTTTGAATTTCAGTATTCTGAATTTGCTGCATTAACTTTAGTAGTCAATTCGTATCTCTTCACTAGGAACTTGTCATAACACAAGAACTTCTTTGCTTTCTTCCCTTTGGGTCCCATCTTCTGCTAACCTATTAAATATTCATATTTCACACTGATTATTTTTTAACCAAAGCCTTGTCCTTCTCATACTCAATAACAATTTCATTTAATCAGTGCTTATTGAGCACTCACACACCCTAGGTGGGTGATGTGCTAGACTTTGAGGACACAAAGACACATTCTAAAAGGAAGGAAGTCCCATAACAAATCAGGGCAATTGATGATTCAAAAAATGTAAGTGTTCAGATCCTTGAGAGAAACATCTCACATTTAAAATATCTATATCTGAAAACAAACAAAAAACAAAACAAAAGAACTAACAACTCCAGTGAACTCCCCTTACACTTAGAATAAGCCCAAACTCCTAACCCTGCTGGGCCTGTAAAGCCCTATCTGACTGGGCCCAGCCTTTCACACTGACCTCATCTCCCACTGCACTCTTGCGCTCACTGTGATCCAGCCCTATCAGCCTTCTTTCCAATGGAGAGACCACGTTCATGTCCAGCTAAGTGTCTGCACTTGATTTTACCCATTCTCCACAGTCTTCCCACGACAGCTTCTCAGACAGGTCATCCCTGACCACCCTATCAAAAATAGCCACTCTCTTCCCAGTCACTCCCTCTCATCACTCATATTCCCATTATGTTGTATATTTACCACCTTCCTTCCCACCAAGAGCATGTGCTACCAGAGAGCAAGGGTCTTTGCCAGCCATGTTCGTTGCTATCCTCAGTGCACTGCATCATGCCTGCACACAGTAAACTGACAAGAAATGTTTATTATACGAATTAAAGTATAAATGAAGGAATGGTGTCTCCATCCACTAGTGCTTCTATAACAAAATACCTGAGACTGGGTAATTTATTATATAAAGAACAGAAATTTCACTCCTCATAGTTCTGGAGGCTGGGAAGTACAAGTTCAAGCCACAGGGAGGTTCAGTGTCTTGTGAGGGCTCTGGTGTTTCCTTCCAAGAAGGCATCTTGAATGCTGTGTTCTCACATGATAGAAGGAACAGAAGGGCAAAAAAGGGGCCTAAACTGGTTCCCTCCAGCCCCTTTTATAAGGTCGCTAGTCCCATTCATGCAGGCAGAGTCCTCATGACTTACTCTGTTCCCAAATGGTCCCGCCTCTTAATACCACCACAATGAGGATTAAGTGTCAACACATGAATTTGCAGAGGCATGCAGACAATAGTAATGACACAGTCAAAGTCCAAACTGATGGCAAGGGCCACTGTAGGAATGTCAGGGAATCTGCATATTTAGTGATGCAAATCTCCAGGGTATGCCAGGACATCCTAGATTTTCCTGTTTTCTGTAGATTCCTCTCTCCCTTTTGTAAGTCTTGCCGAAAGGTAGAAAGGAAAAATGGAGGTATCTTTGGCCAAGAGAGGACAATTCAGTCCAGGAAGATCACCAGGACACTATGGCATTAAAAGCTGTAGAGGCCTGAATTTGATCATCATTTTAAAAAGCAATATTTTCCTATAGAAGGAAAGCACTTGTGTGGAAGGGAAACCTCACCCAAAGGGCAGGTACATTGGAAAGGCCCTATTCTGGCCTTTTCTATGTCATCAGAGATGGCAGCATCTGCCCTCTTATCTGGTCATGTGAAAACAACATTTGTGTGCAGTCTCATTAAACTTTAGGACTAGCAGCAAATAATGGTGCAAGTTCCAAGTCTGCTGCTTCTCTTGTCAGTGTAGCAATAGTCTTGGCAACTTTCTCTTACTCTCATTACTCTACAGCTATTTATACACTGGCACAGGAAAACATATTATTTGCAGAAATGCCTCCGGATCCTATGTCATTTATACAGGCACAGAAGATGTTTTCAAAGAACCATATTTCTGTAGTATTTTTTGCAACAAAGACTGTACAGCAGTGATCTGCCAGGTTGTGTGGGTGTAAAAACAGCCTCCAGTAACTATTCTTTAATTCTACTTTGGCTATTTAATATCTGTTCAAGTATTTCAATCTGCCCAGTCTTAGCTTTTTGATGTCACTCATGATCAATTTGCAAGCTTTGAGAACACAACAGAATGCCTAGGTGTTCCTTTCTCAATCCTCTCCTCCTCCTTATTGGGTTTTATTGGTATCGCAACAATATCAGTGCAATTTGGAACTCTTAGGTTAGCTAATCTGGAAATACTCAATGGTAAGGATAATGCAGACCTCTTGTTTAATTTCCTTAGATCAGGTCCTCTGCAGATGCCAAGTCTGGATTAGACAGGCAGGAGATTTATTGAGGGAAATGCCAAGGAGGGAAAAAGGAGAGGGAGCTGCAGGAAGTGAGGGGAGCTGGGAAGGATGAGAAGGACGTAATAAGGGGTGCTGGATAGGCAGTCTCGGATGGCAGCACAGTTCCAAGAAAATCTCAGCCAGGTTGATGGGACGTCTTTGGGCCAAAGTTGCCCACCAGCGAAGTCCCCCAGAGAAGCCCTGCATTAGCAGCCCTGTGGCACTTAGTTGAGCAGCCCAGGGGGTGTAGACTCAAGCAAGCACTATAGGGGATTCCCATCTGTCACTCCTGCTCCCTGCAGCAGAATTGACTGCGGCATTTTCATAGCCCCCACAGCTTCCACCTACATCTGCTTAAAAAGAGTAAAAGCCAGCAGCTTTCAAATTGTTTTGTTTAAAAGCTCTGGTTCCCAAAGTGGCCCATTACTTCACACAGAGAACTCAGGAACCACCGCAGAAACTCCTAGGCCTTCCTCACCCAAAGAGGTTGTTTCATACATTGGGGTAGATGAGATTTCTTTTAGGGGGAAAATGATCCTACTGCTTTAACAGTTTCAAAATGGTTAGAGGAATACTAGAAAACCTAAACTCTTGATTTGTGGGTGCCTGGAGGGAAAAAGATGTTTTCTACATGATACTTACTTCCCTCTACATGTTTTCCTACACATCTGTGGCTTTCTGTAATCTGTTCCATGTGCCTGCGGTGCCTTTTCTTTCCATCTCTACTTAGAAAGTTCCTCATCCTGGTTGGGTGTGGTGGCTCACACCTGTAATCCCAGCTCCTTGGGAGGCCAAGGCGGGCGGATCACTTGAGCCCAGGAGTTTGAGACTAGCCTGGGCAACATAGCGAGACCTTGTTTCTACAAAAAATAAAAAACAATTAGCTGGGTGTGGTGGCAGGAACCTGTAGTCCCAACTACATGGGAGGCTAAGGTGGGAGGATCACTGGACCTGGGAAGCCAAGGCTGCAGTGAGCTATGATTGCGCCTCTGCACTCCAGCCTCGGTGACAGAGAGAGACTCTGTCTCAAAAAAAAAAAAAAAAAAAAGAAAAGAAAACTCCACATCCTTTATGACCCATATGAACTGCCATCTCTTTTCTGAAACTTTCCTTGACTTCCTTGGGCACAGAAAGCAGCTCCTGCCACTGTGTTCTCATGGCACTTTGTGCTTGATTACAGTTTTTGTCATATTTTGTAATAATTTGTTTATATATTTGTGTCCCCCAGATTGCAAGATTTTTATGATTTATTCTTCCTCTCTTTCTCTAAAGAGGGAAACGTTGATGTGGCCAGGTGCGGTGGCTCACACCTGTAATCCCAGCACTTTGGGAGGCCGAGGTGGGCAGATCATTTGAGGCCAGGAGTTTGAGACCAGCCTGGCCAACATGGTGAAACTCAGTCTCTACAAAAAAATATGAAAATTAGCTGGGTGTGGTGGTGCATGCCTGTGGTCCCAGCTACTCAGGAGGCTGAGGCAGGACAATTGATTTAACCTGGGAGGTGGAGGTTGCAGTGAGCCGAGATTGCACCACTGTACTCCAGCCTGGGTGACAGGAGTGAAACCCTGTCTCAAAAAAAAAAAAAAGAGGGAAACATTGCTATCTCATAAATGTAGAGATGAATTCTCTTGCTCTATAACCATAACTGATGCCTCTAACAGGTTGTATTAGTTTCCTAGGGCTGTTATAACAACCTACTGATAAGCAGGTGGTTTAAACAACAACAATTTATTGTCTCGCAGTTCTAGAAGTCAGAAGTCCAAAATCAAAGTGTCAGCAGAGTTACTTTCTTCTGAGGCTATGAAGAAGAATCTATTTCATGCCTCCCCCATAGCTTCTGGTGGTTTGGTGGCAATCTTTGATGTTCCTTGGCTTGTAGGTGCATCACCCCAATGTCTGCCTTCATCTCCACATGGCACCCCCACCCTGTATGTGTGTCTGTGTCCAAATGTCCCTCTTTTTTTTTTTATAAGAACACTGGTTATATTGGATTAGGGGCTCATCCTACTCCACTGTGACCTCATCTTAACCAATTATATCTGCAACAATCTTATTTCCAAATAAAGCCACATTCTGAGAGTTAGGACTTCAACATGTGAATTTGGGGATAGACACATTTCAACCCGTAACACTAGTTAAAAGAAAGTCATCTATGCCCTTTCTAAGTAATTTTAATTTCTACTACATGGTTTTAGAAGGAATAGAACCCTGACCAATAACAAAGAAGGAAGGAAGGAAGAAAGGAAGGAAGGAAGGAAGAAAGGAAGAAAGGAAGGAAGGAAGGAAAGAAGGAAGGAAGGGAGTGAGTGAGGGAGGGGAGGGAGGGAGGGAGGGGAAGGGAATGGGAAGGGGAAGAGGAAGGGGAGGGGGACCAGCGGGCTATCTGGCATTCAAAACATGGTGCTAAACTAATTCTAAACTTGAAATTATTTGCTGTTATAGTTTTGTGAAAACCATTAAAAGTAACAACAAGAAGAGAAAATGTACCTATAATCCATCCATTCACTTATCCCACAAATATTTATTGAGAACCTATTGCATACCAGGCAATGTTCCAGGAGCTGCTCCAGCTAGACTATGAGGAACAGGAAACAGAGCAAGAGGTGGGGGTTGACAGAGAGGCTACCCTAGGGCTTCCTCATAATTTGATAGAACCTAAAATTCATGTGAGGCTCTGGAGAAATAGTATCCCTTATAGCAATGACTGCTAGTGCAAAGGCCCCGAGATAGCAACACACCAAGGCTGGCATGACTAGACTTTGTGGAGCAAGGCAAGGAATGATAGAAGAGGTCAGAGAGGCAGGCAGGCAGGCAGGTCCAGTTATGTAGAGCTTTGCAAAACAGCATAAGGATTTTGGATTTTTTTCTAAGTGGAATAGGCAGTCACTGGAGGATTAAAAGCAGACATATTATATGATCTGATTTATATTTTTAAAAGATCACTGTAGATGCTGTGCATAAAATGGATTGAAGAAGGGTAGGAAGCAAGGAGACTAGTTAGGGGTCATCACAGAAGTCCAGACAAGAGTTGATGGAGGCTGGGGGTGGTGGCTCACACCTGTAATCCCAGCACTTTAGGAGGCCGAGGTGGGTGGATTATTTGAGGTCAGGAGTTCGAGACCAGCCTGCCCAACATGGCAAAACCCCGTCTCTACTAAAAATACAAAAAATTAGCCAGCCGTCATGGCAGGCGCCTGTAATCCCAGCTACTTGGGAGGCTGAGGCAGGAGAATCGCTTGAAACCAGGAGCCAGAGGTTGCAGTGTGCTGAGATGGCGCCATTGCACTCCAGCCTCCATGACAAGAGCGAAACTCTGTCACAAAAAAAAAAAGAGTTGATGGAGATTTAGGTTGGGCTGTAGCAGCATAGTTCAATGTCGGAATCTATAAATACATGTTGCTTAACAATAGGGATGGATACCTTCTGAAAAATGTGTTGTTAGGTAATTTTGTTGTTGTGTGAACATCATCAGGTTTACTTACACAAACCTAGATGGTGTAGTGTACTACACACCTAGGCTAGATGGTATAGCCTGTTGCCCCTAAGCTACAAACCTGTACAGCATGTTACTCAACTGAATACTGTAGACAGTTGTGACACAATGGTAAGGATTTAGGAATCTAAACATAGCAAAGATACAGTAAAAATAAGGTCTTATAATCTTATGGGACCACTGTCATATATGTGGTCTGCTGTTAATGGAAACATCATTGTGTGATGTATGACTGTAAATATACGGACACATATGCATTGCATGCACATACACAGAAACATGCACATCATAGTTAATCCCTAAAAATCAACTGATTCTATGATCTCAAATCTCTATAGTACTATACCAATTATGCTCTTTTGAAAAACAAACATAGCTTGCAGACCCGTTCCTACCCCTGTTCTTTGCTCTCGGTTTTCTAATCATTGTAGGAAATGATTAAGCTGAGCAGGGGCCATGGGAATTTTATTTTGAGGGTCTGGAAGGACACAGATAATAGAAACACGATCTGTAAGGCTTCTTTCATTTTATCATTTGAGTCTGCATCCGTGGATTAACTGTGATATCAAGTTGCGTCCCCTGAGTCTAACTGTGCACCAGTTAGAATACTCTGACTGAATTAATGGATGGGGGTTTTGAGTGTTCAATTAGTTGACCATCTGTTCTATTAAATCATCTCTTACTTTGCACAGGCTTCTAACTGAATTCCTTTTTTCCAATGCAAACCTCCAAAATCTATTCAACATATCCTTTTAAGAGTGCCAGAGCTAACAGACAACTCTAATTCTATCGCTCCCATGCCCTAAAATCTTCAAAAACTCCCCATCACCTGAAGGATAAAAAGTCTCAGCTTCTTTGATGCATCCAAGGCCCTCTGGATCTCTTGGTGTCTCAGCTCCTGCCCTTGCCCTCACTGCATCTTTTGTTTAACCAAAACCAAGGAAGGGAGCCCTGTTCACACTTTGTGCTTTGCTCTTGCTGTTCTGTGTCTAGACAGCCAACCCTTTCTTACGTATGTGTCCGTGGAGCTTCAGCTCAGGCCTCCCTCTCTCAAAAAAGCCTCCAGAATTCTTACAGGTTGTAGTAAATGCCCTTTTGTGCTCCTAAAGTAGTGGTTCTTTTTTTTTTGGACAGGGTTTTGCTCTGTGGCCCAGGCTGGAGTGCAGTGGTGTAATCTTGGCTCACTGCAACCTCTGCCTCCCAGGTTCAAGTGATTCCAGTGCCTCAGCCTCTGGAGTAGCTGGGACTATAGGTGCATGCCACCACACCAGGCTAATTTCATGTATTTTTAGTAGAGACAGGGTTTTGCCATGTTGCCCAGGCATGGGCAATTTCATGATTTCCTTGATTGGCTCTGTTGTTAAGCCTGTGAAGTTATGCAAAACAGTTGAACATAGTTTTACCCATCAGGAGTTTATTATTATGGGCTTGATGGCTTTCATGGCTTGAATTCATGACCTCGAGTGACCTCAAGTGATCTGCCCACCTCAGCCTCCCAAAGTGCTGGGATTACAGGCGTGAGCCACCACGCCTGGCCAAAGCAGTGGTTCTTAAAGTGTGGTTCATGGAGCACTAGGAGAGTTCCCTGAAACTATTACAAAGTGTCTGCAAAGGCGAAAGTGTATTTATAATAATACGAACATGTTATTTGCCTTTTCCACTGTATTGACATTAGTGATGATAATGCAAAAGCAATGATGAGTAAAACTGAAGTCATCTTAACACAAATCGAGGCAGGGCACCAAACTACACTAGTAGTCACTGTATTTCTTACCACTACACTCTTGCAAAAAAACTAAAAAATAATAAGAAAAACAAGTTGTACTTAACAATGTCCTTGCAGCAGTAAAGATTATTGATTTTATTAAATCTCAACCTTTAAATCCATGACTTTCTGATTATTCTACATGATGAAATGGGAAGCACACATAAAGCAACTTCTGCTGCCTACCAAACTACAATGCAGAGGTTTCTCTACACAGTCAAAAATCCACATATAAGTTGTTTTGTTTTGGTTTGGTTTTGTTTGTTGTTTTTTTGTAGAGACAGAGTCTCACTATACTGCCCAGGCTGGTCTTGAACTCCTGGACTCAAGCCATCCTCCTGCCTTAGCCTCCCAAAGTGTTGGCATCACAGGCATGAGCCACCTTAATAACATTTGCTTTTTCTCTAGCTTAATCTTATTGTGAGAATACAGTATATAATACATATAACATTAAAAAATGTGTTAATGAACTGTTTATGTTATTGGTAAGGCTTCTAGTCAACAGTAGGCTATTAGTGCTTAAGTTCTTGGGGAATCTACTGTTTATTAAGTGGAAGTGGACCATCATAAAGGTCTTCATCCTCATTGTCTTCGTGTTGAGTAGGCTGAGGAGGAGGAGGGAGGGGTGGGGTAGCAGAGGTGGAAGAGGTGGGGGAGGTGGAAGGAGAGGCAGGAGAGGCAGGCACACTTGGTATAACTTTACAGAACTACATCATTCCTTCTGTCTGACTTTTTACTTTTTCGTTTCTCTAAAAATGTTTCTATATGGTACCAATTCTTCCACCATTTTTTTAGTTTCAGTGCATGTATCATAGAAGGGCCCATGTCATAAAAGAAGTCAAAAGCAGTCCAGGATAATTCGAACTCTTCTGCCAGATGTCTAATGTCAGTTTCTTTTCTGGCACTGCTTCTTCTACATCTTCTTCCTCATTGTCTGGCACTGGTTCAAAAGCTCTCATCTCCATCTTCATTTTCTTTTAATTCTGGCATGGTGTTTATTAGCCCTTAATTTCTCCAAGATCTGTATCTTGAAACACTTCACGCCCCCTAGCCCCCATCTTTTCTGCCAAATCCACAATCTTTTTCATGATTTCCTTGATTGGCTCTCTTATTAAGCCTGTGACATTATGCACTACAGCTGTATATAGTTTTCTCCAGCAGGAGCTTATTATTACGGGCTTGATGGCTTTCATGGCTTTTCCTGTAACAACAATGGTGTCTTCAGTGGTGTAATCCTTTCAGACTTTCACGATGTTCTCTCTGTTGAGATTCTCTTTTATAGCATTTGACAATCCTTTCCATAGAGTGCCATGTGTAACAAAGCTTAAAGGTCCTAACGAACCCCTGATCTAGAGACTGATTTAGAGACGCTGGGTTTGGGGCAAGTAGACCAGTTCGACAACTGCAATGTTGAACTCATGGGGTTCTGGGTGGCCAAGAGCAGTTCCTTACTGGCAGGGTACTTTCTGACTTCAGGTACAAAGCATTTCTTGTAAGCCTCGGAGTTGGCAGCTTTATGGATAAGGGCCATCCTGATCATCAACGTATCTGAATTTGCACAGAACAGCACAGTTAGCCTATCCCTTCCTGTCTTAAATCCTGGTGCTCAGTTTGCTCTTCCTTACTAATAAATGTCTTTGTGGATATTTTTTCCATAATAGGGCACTTTTGTCGGCACTAAAAACCTATTCAGGCAGTTATCTTTTCTCTTCACTGGTTTTCTTAATGGCGTCTGGGAACTCACCTGCTGCTCATCTTGGTAGACAAAAGCTGCTTCTGTGTTATCTTGACATTTTTTAAGCTAAGCCTCTTTCTAAAATTATCAAACCATCCTTTACCAGCATTAAATTCTTCAGCTTTTAGATCTTTCATCTTCCCTTTGCTTTAAGTTGTTATATAATGACTTCGCGTTTTTTCAAATCATATTAGGGTCTTTAGGTATGCGTTTCTTATAGCAATCCTGCACCTACATAAAAGCTGCATTTTTAATACAAGAGAAAAAGATATTTGCATAAAGTACAATGTTTTCATGCCTGCTGGTGTAACTGCAGTGATAGTATTATGAATTTCCTTTTCTTTTTTTACAATGAACACTGGATTCATTTATCTTGAAATGGTGGGGAGTCACAGCTGCAGACCTCAGACTATGGCACACACAAAACAGCCCACTTTTCTTTTCTTTCCTTTCCTTTTTTTTTTTTTTTTGAGACAGAGTCTCGCTCTGTCGCTCAGGCTGGAGTGCAGTGGCGTGATATTGGCTCACCGCAACCTCCACCTCCCGGGTTCAAGTGATTCCTCTGCCTCAGCCTCCCGAATAGCTGGAACTGCAGGGGCATGCCACCATTCCCGGCTAATTTTTGTATTTTTAGTAGATATGGGGTTTCACCATGTTTACCAGGCTGGTCTTGAACTCCCAACCTCAGGTGATCCACCTGCCTTGGCCTCCCAAAGTGCTGGGATTTACAGGCGTGAGCCACCGTGTCCAGCCAAAACATCCCACTTTTCCTTTTAATATCATGACTTTTCTCTGCTTCTCTTGGGAGCACTTCCAGCATTATTGGTGGCGGTTCATAGGAGTCCCATAATGTTATTCAAGGTTTATGGTATTGCACTAAACATGATGAAAAATATGTAAGAACAAGAGACCACTTTTTACTGTGATACGAAATTTACTAGAGAGACAAACTGCACATGTGGCATTTTAAGTGGATACTCACAACACTTGTGCTCACTGAAATAGCAACAGGAGGTGGCTACAAAATTATTACAGTAGTACAGTATATACTACAGTTAATTTTATGCAGTTATGATTTAACAGTGCATCTTTACTGCTTTTGTTTACATTTTTGTTGACTGGGAATGGGAACACATATGGTCTGTGTTTGTGTTTATAAGTTTTGATAAATTTTAACTTTTTATCACTAATTTGTGTATATTTTATGATAGTAAATGACATACTAGTATCTACATATATTTTATGCATTTATGGCATACCTTTTTCTTAATTTTTTGATATTTCTAGGCTACTTGGTTTGTCTGAGTTTTTTCAAGTTATTGCAAATCTCCAAAACAATTTTCAATATATTTATGGAAAAAAATCTGCGCATAAGTGGACCTGCTCAGTTCAAACCCATGTTGTTCCCGGGTCAGCTATACAATGGTTGTCTCAAGACAAAGCGTCTATGTTTGAGTTGCCAGCTGTGCTAACCATTGTTTGGTTTTGTTTCATAGAACACCATTTTTATTTGATTTTCTGCTAGCTGAATCTATTAATTACCAATAAAGGGTTGTTTAAAGTCTCCAAATATAATGGTGGATCCTTACAATTCTATCAGTTACTGTGTCATATATTTTCATGCTCTTTTGTAAGGGACATACACAATTAAGGATTATTATGTCTCTTTATCCCTGCTAACTTTCCTTGGCCTGAAGCCTGCTTTGTCTAAAGTTAATATAGCTACTCCTGCTCTCTTTTGATTAGTGTTAGCATGGTATATATTTCTCCATCCTGTCACTTTTAATCTATATGTGCCTTTATATTTAACATGAGGTTTTTTTCCTTTCCAACTTTTAGTTTCAAGGGGTACATGTGCAGGTTTGTTACGTGGGTAAATTGCATGTCATGGGGGATTGGTGTACAGACAATTTTGTCACTCAGGTAATCAGTATAGTACCCAATAGGTAGTTTTTCAGTCCTCACCCTCCTACCACCCTCCACCCTCAAATTGGCCCCATTGTGAAAGGGAGTTTCTTGTAGGCAACATATAATTGGGTCTTGTTTCTTGATCTACTCTGACAATCCCTGTCTTTTAACATCATTTTTTTTTTTTTTTAAGAGCAACTGACAAACAAACTAAGATTCATACTTGGGTTTCTGGCAGATTTTTTTCTGAAAAAGGAACCAAAAGTGAGGCTGACACTTCAAGGAAAACAACTGAAAGCCTTTATTGCCAATGATAAAATTAGAGCTTTCCATGAAAAGTCAGAATTTTTAGAAACACGTATGTGCCACTGTGAGCTTGAAAGCTCCCTGATACTTAGACTATTCCAATGAGATAGTGATATTAATGAATATTTTTAAATAAATAATATAATATAATTTGTAAACATATGGAAGTTCTGCATGCCTCAGTGATCTGATATTTTCCAAGTGACTGATGCATGATGTCACAAAATCAGGTATGGTAAAATTCATTCAAACCGCAAGATAGACCTATGTATTTTAATGTAACAAATCATAAAATGTTTATTGCTATCACCCCAAATTGGTGTGTAGAACTAAGGAAATCCCAATTAAAATCCCAACAGACTTTATTTTTATAAACGTGACAACCTAATTTTAAAATGTATATGGAAATGCAAAGAAACTAGAGTAGCCCAAGCAATTTTAAAAAAGAAATTAAAGAACTTACTACCTGATTTCAAGACTTCCTGTTAAGCTATAGTAATCAAAATAGTGTTGTATTGGTATCAAGATAGGCATAGAAATCAACGGAACAGAATAGAGACTCTAGAAATAAAATACATACACATTTAACCAGTAGATTTCTGACAAAGATGCCAAGGCAATTCAATGGGGTAAAGACAATCTTTCCAGCAAATGATTCTGAAAGAATTGTAGTGTCATTTACCTAAAAAAAAAAAAAAAGAACCCTCAATCTTTATCTCACAGTATACACTAAATTTGACTCAAAATGAATCCTTAAATGTAAGAGCCAAAACTATAAAATTTCTGAAGGAATACAATAGATAGGAGAATTTAGTGATCTTGAGTTTGGCAAAGATTTCTTTAAAAGACATACAGAATGCTTAACCCAGCCGTGGTGGCTCACACCTGTAATCCCAGCTCTTTGGAAGGCCGAGGCAGGAGGATCACTTGAGCCCAGGAGTTGGAGGCTACAGTGAGCTGTGATTGTGCCACTGAACTTTAGCCTGGGTGACAGAGCAACACTCCATCTCTAAAAACAAAAAAAGAAAAGAATCTTATAGAATGTCTAGATGCATCACGTGATTTTTAGGAATGAGAGCTTCTACAGAAACTTTTAGGCAACAAAGGAAAAAATACATATTTTTTTAAATTGGCTTAAATATGTGTACTTTTAAATTTGTTTCTATATAGCCTGGTCCACTGGACTATTAGGAAAGCTCCCAGAGCTGGGAATAAAAAAGGAATTTCTCCCTCTTACCTGCCCAAAATTTTCAGCAACCAGCCATGTGTATTTTATGAACATTAACATTGACCCTCCCAATCTTAATGTTTTAGGAAGCTGTATTGGTCAGGATCCCATAAGAAGACAGAAACCACCCCAGTTAGCTTAACAGAGAGAAAGTAGTATCAGGAATTGCTGGCCAGATATGGAACAACTAAAAAGGCAATGAAGGAACAGTAAGGTATCTCAGAGATGCCTTACCACATCCATAGGACACAGCTATCCCCACTAGAACTGAGGAACTAAAGAAAAAGGTTGGAATTATTGAAACTGACAGTCTTGAAGAATGGGTCCCTACAGACTGGAATTCAGACCTCTGAAGAGCGACTGTTGCCCAGATAATGCTGGTGCTTCAGAAATCTGGAAGAGGGTCCTCAGGAGCTGAGACCCAGACCTATGAGGAAGGGAGGGGGTTTCCTGTTCACTGAGGCCACATCTCTAGGAGTGCATGATAAGGCTGGTTCTCTACATTTTAGTAAGTCAGCAAATTGGAATCATGCTGCTTCTGGAGGGAACTGCTGCTGGCAAGTGAAGTAGCATAGCTAAGGTGACTCTGAAGCAAAGAGAAAAGAGAGCACCTTGTCTTCCCCCTCCAACCCCACAGTCTCTCTCTAGTGCCCAATTAGCAGAGCCTAAAGGAACCAACCAATAAAGAGAAAGGTTTGCAGAGTGCCTGCATCACAAAACAGGATATGGAACTATAGGTTCAAAGCTGAGAGACACTAGCTTAACAAATAACACATTGGAAACACTTAAATTCCAACTGTTTTTCTCAACATAAGACATAGTTTGATGTGTTGTAGTTTACATACATATGATTATGGTAACATGTATCATTCATGATTGCCTCCCTCCTTCTATTCATGCTTATCTCCATAAACGTGAAGACGTTTATCCCCAAAATCCATTTGGAATGCCTCTCATGGAGTATATTTATCAAATAAACTATTAATTAAATAACAGCAGCAAAAAGTTGCATGCTATTAGATTCAAACTTTTTTTTTTGACACAGGGTCTTGCTCAGTTGTCCAGTGGTGTGACCATGCCTCACTGCAGCCTTGACTTTCTGAGCTCAAGTAATCCTCTCAGCTCAGCCTCCCAAGTAGCTGGGACTACAGGTGTGCACCACCACACCTGGCTAATTTTTGCATTTTTTGTGTGGACAGGGTTTCACCATGTTGCTTCAGCTGGTCTCAAACTCCTGGACTCAAGTGATTCACCAGCCTAGGCCTCCCAAAGTGCTGAGATTACAGGTGTACACCACTGTGCCTGGCCAGATTGAAACTTTAAGACCTAGCAAAGCAAAACCTTGTCTGAGGAATTGATGAGAGTTAGCACGGATTATTTATTCTGGAGGAATTTTAAGATGTTCACTCTTCTGGTCCACATGTAATGGTAGCTAAAGATGATGATTGTTGTGGGTGATAATGTAAGATATAATTGAGGCGGGGCACGGTGGCTCACGCCTGTAATCCCAGTGCTTTGGGAGGCCAAGAAGGGCAGATCATGAGGTCAGGAGATCGAGTAATCCTGGCTAACATGGTGAAACCCTGTCTCTACTAAAAATGGAAAAAATTAGCCGGGCGTGGTGATGGGTGCCTGTAGTCCCAGCTACTTGGGAGACTGAGGCAGGAGAATGGCATGAACCCAGGAGGCAGAAGTTACAGTGAGCCGAGATCGCGCCACTGCACTCCAGCCTGGGTGACAGAGTGAACCTCCATCTCAAAAAAAAAAAAAAAAAGAAAAAAAGATATAATTGATTAATTCTGAAATAATCCTTTACAAATACTTGGGAAGTGATGCCATAAATCATTTGAGTGCTTGTAAAGCAGCTCATAGCATCTCTTCACATAGTTGATTTATCAAGTTAAAAATTTAAAAAGCTCCAAGGGATTAAGAATACAAAACAGGGCTATTTCCTTTCTATATACTCAATAAGAACATTAGACTGCATTTCAAATATGAATGCATCAGTACAAAAATTTTTAAAAGCCTCACTTAATGTGAGGGGTCATGCCCAGCAAAAATCCTTCTGAAAGTCAAACAGAGCCCCACCTGCAACAGCTTCTTCTTTTGAAAAGGGATGTGTTGCAGGGTCTCCAGACCTCAGACCTTAAAGTCCAGCCCTAGATTGTTCTTTTAGGCTGTAGCATCCCCAGTCTCATTTCAGATTTTTATTTTCAGGTGCTTTCTCTCTCACTAGTCTTAAGTTTTCCCGCTTCTTTCCAAATGCACCCTGATTTTCAGCATAGTGTTTGATGCCATGGAGAATATAAAAGGAATATAAGACATAGGTCCTGCCCACTGCTATTTTTAATCTAGTTGGGGATATAAGCCAATATCCATGAAACAATTAATTTGTAAAGCAGTAGTACATACATAATATTATATATTAGCAAACAAAGTACTATTCTCCAACATAAAACAATACTCAGTTCATTTCAGCTAAGCTAAGCCAAAGAGTTTTTCAAGTAACCTGAAGAGCCTTATTTAAATATTTCCTTTATAATGTGTGAGACTTCCAGGATCAAATGATATTTTTATTTTTACTTTTTAAAATTGAGAGATGGGGTCTCGCTATGTTGCCCAGGATGGTCTTGAACTCCTGAGCTCAGATGATTCTTCCACCTCTCAAATGATATATTTAAAAGGAGGTATATAAACTTGATGACTTTATGAACATTTCAATGAATATTGCTGTTCCTTAGTTTTTGGAATAATAAATGCCACACAGCAAAATGGTGAAGAACAACTTTGTAAAGTTCAAGTTTTTATGGCCTTTCCTTTGTATGTTGCCAGTCAGCCTGGTCACTGGCCTTTCTTTAACCTAAACCTGTTTTTGCAAAGAGCATTGCATTGTCAGCAACAGCATATGTAATGTCACTCTAGAACTGACCCTTTCAATTTAAGAATTATATATATTTAAAGAACGATCTGACCAAGAAGACTTAGAACATTGATTGTAAGTAAAATTTAACAGTGGATTCCTGCTTTATCCTATTCCCACCATGCTATACTATGTTTTGCATGTTTGTCCCCTCTAAACCTCATGTTGAAATTTGAGTCCCAATGTGGCAGTGTTGGAGTGGGCCTGGTGGGAGGTGTTTGGATCATGGAGGCAGATCCCTCATGGATAGATTAATGCCCTCCCTCAAGGTGAGTGAATTCTCATTCTATTAAGTCCCATGAGATCTAGTGGTTAAAAAGAGCCAGGTACCCCCCACCCAAAACCCATCTCCCTTGCCTCCTCTCTCCCTATCTCTTTGCACACACTGGCTCCATTCCACTGTGAGTTGAAGCAACCTAAGGCTTTCACCAGATACCAATGCCTAATCTTGGACTTTCCAGCCACCAGAGTGATGAGTCAAAGAACCTTTTATCTTTATAAACTACCCAGTCTCGAGTGTTCAGTTACAGCAACACTAAACATATTAAGACACACTCTGAAATCCTGGAGAGAGAGACCAATGCCCAAATCATGAAATTTAAAGCTCTTAAGCAATAAACTCAATTAATGTTCTATAAACATATTCCCTTTTCAGTAAAATTGCTTCAAAATAACACTGCTCTAATCAATGGCTATCACTAGAAAACATCAGAGAGCTGGAAACACTTGGCTTCCCCTTCCTTTGTAATCAGCCAACTTCATTACGCCTTCTGCCTAATAATTATAGAGATGGGTTTCATAACATAAAAATAATAGGCATTACAAATTGCATGCTCTCTCAAGGAACTAGAGATGTATGTCATTTCATATACCAATATGAAAAGCATGACTTTTGTTTAACTCAGGTACTGGAGTTCTAGAAATAGAGCGAAATCCTGCAACTTACTGGTAATGTATGCTGCACACACTCTTTGAAGCGAACACATGTTGAGAAAATGCCATTTTAACCCTGCCTTGAGGAAGTGAAATGGTATATTGGACCTGTGTCATTAGCTTTCTTTCTCCCCTGAACACGAGTCAATTCATGTATAACCAATAGAGAAATATGCCACTGCCTCGGAATTGTTAAAAATATCTTTTTGGTTTTTATTATTATGGTAATAGTGCTCATTGTAGAAAATTTGGAAAATAGGAAAACATATAAAGAAGAAAATAAAAATCACTTACAATCCCTCAATCCTAAAATTACTATGTGTTAGTAGATTGGTTTCTCTTATTCCAATATATTTATAAGTACGTATTTTGCATAGTTGAGATAATTTTGTGCCATTTGCATACTGCTTTTTTCATTTAACGTAAACTTGTGAGCATTTTATCTTTTCATTAACATCTTGGTAAATGTACTTGCTGGGTATATCTCCACAGTATGAGTGCACACTAAGTTACCTCATCATTCCCGTTGATGAATGTTTAGATAGCTCACTTTTCCACCATTATCAGAAAATATAATGATAATATTCACATTTATTCTATGAACTGGAAACCAGACCTCTGATGAAGGGTGGGTGGTTTCCTTTTTGACCAAGGCTGTGCTTCTGAGATTTTAAGGAAATAGTCTAAAGTTACAAGGTCAAAGAATATAGATATGTTTAGAGCTCTTAATAGATACTAGCAAACTGCTTTTCCAGATTGTCCGAATTTATACTCCACTAGCAAAGTGCAAGAAAGCCTGCTTCACTGTACACCATACCTGTGGCAGCACTGAGCGTTAATATTTTTGAGGGTGAAATGATTTCTCAATATTATTTTGATTTATGTTATTGCATTACTAGTGAGTTTGAACATTTTACTCTCAGGATATTTTAACTTGATGCAAAATGTATAAAAATAAACTTTGGTAGAATATTTCCTTCTAAACTGGCATAGTGAATCCTCCCTTCAGCCAATTCTGAATACTTACATGAAAAATTCTTCAATTAGCATTCTTAATTTGAAGGTTCTCTTTACCTCATTTTTTTTAAAGGCTTGGTTTGTTTAACATTAAATTATGGCTTAAAGTGAATTCTTCAGCCAAGGGAAGTTGGTTCTTTTTTTTGAAGCCAAAAGACTTCAGTATATTAGTAATTCTGTATAGAAATATGCAGAACATGGGAAAATGTTCTGTATATTTAGAATTCTAGAATTTTGCTAAAAATCTCTTTCTCCAGTGGGGAGCCTGAGAGTGTACAATTAATGAAAATGATTTACCTTTTGCATGTCCATGGCAAATGATTGCCTGTTCCAATCAAGAAACTTTTCCTCATTGATTTCTCTACATGTCTCCTGTGCTTTGAAGCTAGAACTTAACATTAACAGGGAATTGACTTTCCTTTTTGGCTCTTCCCTTTACAAACATCACTCATTTACTCACAAATCTATTTTTTAAAGGGCCACAGTTTACTATTAAGAAGTAGTTCAACATTCAAAATTATGTGAAGTTTCAGGTGATTTCTTCAGAATTTCAATACACACCCACAAAAGAAAGAGTTTAGGTAAGAAGGCAACAGCCAACAGAAGCAAAGACAGTATCTGATCACAGCTTACCTAGAAGGATGTGGAAGTTCTGGCACAATCTCTACTTCACTCCTACGTAGACTTAATTGACAGTAGCATTTCCTAAAGATGTGCTAGATGCCTACCCTCTGCTGTTCTTTACATATATTATTTTTAAAACACACAACAGTGCTGCCAACTACGTATTATTATTCCCATTCTACAGATAAAGAAACCAAAGCTCAGAGATGCTAGAGCTAGGTTTACAACCTTGGTCTGTGTCGTTCAGAATCTAGGAATGCTTCTTTTCTTTTTTATTTTCTTTTTTTTTTTTTTTGAGATGGAATCTCACTCTGTTGTCCAGGCTGGAGTGCAGTGGCGTGATCTCAGTTCACTGCAACCTCCACCTCCCAGGTTCAAGCGATTCTCTGCCTCAGCCTCCCGAGTAGCTGGGATTACAGGTGCGTACCACCACACCAAGCTAAAAAATTTTTTGTATTTTTAGTAGAGATGGGGTTTCACTCTGTTAGCCAGGCTGGTCTTGAACTCCTGACCTCAAGTGATCCACCTGCCTCAGCCTCTCAAAGTGCTGGGATTACAGGCGCAAGCCACTGCACCCAGCCTTTTTAAAAAATAAAAAATAAAATATATACACAAAGAGTGCATAGAAATATACTACATCAAAAAATAAAATGCACACCATTTCCCTAGCCTTTTCCCTAGAGCTTAGAAGCCCCTGGTCTACTTCTCCTCATGACATATCCCACACATACCAGGTAATCACTCTCCTAAATTTTGTATTACCAATTCACTTGCTTTTCTTTGTCATCTTACTTTATGTGTCTGTATCAGTAAATATTATATGTTTTAACTTTGCCTGTTTTATATTTTATCTGTATGGAAGTCATAAATAGTGTCTGTCTTTCTCAGAAAAATTCCTTTGTCATGAATAAACCATAGGCCTGTTACTGTACCTGCAGTTCTAGAAACCAGCCTATGTATAAGCCTAGATTCATAGTCAAAGTAGAATTGTGATGGAGTTCAGCACACACTACCCCAAAACAGGGCACCTTGGCATTTGAGAAGACAACAGAAGCAGGAAGGTCTCCCTCACTTTCTTCCCCTTGTTCCTTCTCCTCTGATATAGGTTGTAAATCTCTCACTCCAGCATGGCCCACCGTATACCTGGAGGAAAGGAATGTCCCTATCTGAAGACACAGAGACACCAAGAAGAATCCGAACAGGACTTGCTAAGTTCCCTCCTGTTTATAACCATTAGCTAATACCCTTTTACCCAATCATACTTCTGCATGACTGTTCATGAACATACACAGTTTTCCCTGTTTCTTTGGATCTTAATTTCTGAAGGTTCCCGGGTCACATAAAGCTTGTTTTGTTCTCTTTTGTTTGAGACAAGGTCTCACTCTGTCAGCCAGGCTGGAGTGCAGTGGTATGAGCATGGTTCGCTGCAGCTTTGACCTCCTCCCACTGGGGATCTTCCCAAGCAATCCTCCCACCTTAGCCTCCCAAGTAGCTGGAGCTACGGGTGCATGCCACCACACCAAGCTCATTTTTAAACTTTTTGTAGAGATGGGGGTCTCGCTATGTTGCTCAGGCTAGTCTTGAACTCCTGGGCTCAGGCAATCATCCTACCTCAGCCTCTAAAAGTGCTGGGATTACAGGTGTGAGCCACTGCGCCCAGCCCCTGTCACATAAAACTTACTTCAAATAAATTTGTTAAACTCTTCTCTTGTTAATCTGTCTCTTATTATAGGAGTCTGAACCATGAACCTGGCAATTGGTGAGAAAAGAAATATTTTCTCTCCTATAATTGCCAGATTTAGCAAATAAAAGCAAGTATGTCCCATGCATATTCCAGTGGGTATGCCCCATGCAATATTTAGGGCATATTTATACCAAAAAAGTATTTGTTCTTTGTCTGAAATTCAAATCTAACTGGGCATCCTGTATTTTATCTCTCAGACCCATTTTAAGGAGCCTTACTACATCAGTCTTTTTTTTTTTTTTTTTTTTTTTTTTTTTGAGACAGAGTCTCACTCTGTCACCCAGGCTGGAGTGCAATGGTGTAATCTCTGGCTCACTGCAAGCTCTGCCTCCTGGATTCAAGTGATTCTCCTGCCTCAGCCCCCCGAGTAGCTGCCATTGCAGGCAAGTGCTACCACGCCTGGCTAATTTTTATATTTTTAGTAGAGAAGGGGTTTCATCATGCTGGCCAGGCTGGTCTCGAACCCCTGACTTCAGGTGATCCGCCAGCCATGGCCTCCCAAAATGCTAGGATTACAGATGTGAGCCACCACGCCTGGCCACTACCTCAGTTTTGACACCTGAATACAACCCTAGAAGGTAATTACCCTGGCGGGTAAGCCGTGAAGTGGTGCTGTAACTGCCCGGGGGGTTCTCCTTGCCCACTGCCTAGACAGAGCTGATTTATCAAGATGGGGGAATCGCAACAGAGAAGGAATTTAATTCATGTAGAGCTGGCTGTAGGGGAGACCGGAGTTTTATTATTACTCAAATCAGTCTCTGAGAATTAAGGGATCAGAGTTTTTTTTTTTTTTTTTTTTTTTTTTTTTTTTGAGACAGAATCTCGATCTGTGGCCCAGGCTGGAGTGCAGTGGCGCAATCTCGGCTCACTGCAAGCTCCGCCTCCCGGGTTCACGACATTCTCCTGCCTTAGCCTCCTGAGTAGCTGGGACTACAGGCGCCCGCCACCACGCCCGGCTAATTTTTTGTGTTTTTAGTAGAAACGGGGTTTCACCGTGTTAGCCAGGCTGGACTCGGTCTCCTGACCTTGTGATCCGCCCACCTCGGCCTCCCAAAGTGCTGGGATTACAGGCGTGAGCCACGGCGCCCAGCCAGGGATCAGAGTTTTTAAGGATAATTTGGTGGCTAGGGGACCGTGAGTCAGGAGTGCTGATTGTTGGGTTGGAGATGAAATCACAGTGAGTCGAAGCTGTCCTCTTGTGCTGTCTGGCAGTCCCTGGGTGGGGGCCACAAGACCAGATGAGCCAGTGTATCCATCTGGGTGGTGCCAGCTGATATATCCAGCACAGAGTCTGCAAAATAGCTCAAGCACTGATCTTAAATTTTACAATGATGATTTATCCCCAGGAGTAATTCAAGGAGGTTCAGAATCTTCAGAATCTTTTCTTTTCCTTTTTTTTTTTTTTTTTTTTTTTTGAGATGGAGCCTTTCCCTGTCGCCCAGGCTGGAGTGCAGTGGCGCAATCTTGGCTCACTGCAACCTCGGCCTCCTGGGTTTAAGCAATTCTCTGCCTCAGCCTCCCAAGTAGCTGGAATTACAGGCGCGTGCCACCAAGCCTGGCTAATTTTTTTGTATTTTTAGTAGAGACGGGGTTTCACCATCTTGCCCAGGCTGGTCTTGCACTCTTGACCTCGTGATCCACCCACCTCGGCCTCCCAAAGTGCTGGAATTACAGGCGTGAGCCACCGTGCCTGGCCAGTTCAGAATCTTATAGCCTCCAGCTGCATGACTCCTGAACCATAATTTCTAATCTTGTAGCCACAAGATTAGAGGACTAATAGAGGCTAATCTATTAGTCCTCTAAAGGCAGTCTGGTCCCAAGCAGGAAGGGGGTTTGTTTTGGGAAAGGGCTGTTGTCACCTTTGTTTCAAAGTTAAACTATAAACTAAGTTCCTCGCAAAGTTAGTTCAGCCTACACCCAGGAATGAACAAGGACAGCTTGGAGGTTAGAAGCAAGATGGAGTTGGTTACGTCAGATCTCTTTCATTGTCATAATTTTCTCAGTTATAATTTTTGCAAAGGCGGGTTGAGTCCCCCACAACGTGGGGTGGAAATTACAAGGATCCTAGAGTTAGGAAACCTGGGTCCTAATTCCCACTCCATCAGCTCTTGGTTATGTGACCTTGGACACGTCACTTGAACCTTGTGAGTTTCAGTTTTCTCATCTTCAAAACAGAGATCACAAGAGACTTCCTCAAAAAGGCTAAATCCTCATCTGTTAAAAGAGAAACTCAGTAGATTGTTTATAATCTAGACTCAATAAAACAAGAAATAGTACCATGGGTACATCACTTAGAGATCTGGAGGTGACCCCCAAGAAATCCTGAAAATAGAAACTGTTAAAAGTTCCTAAAGGTCGCCTTTAGCTGGAGAACCAGGGGTGGCGTGTGGGAAGGAATAGACTGGGAACGTTCCTTCTCATGACAAGCTCTTTCGTGGTATTTCATGTTTTTAACATCAACTTTGCTTTGAAAAGTTTAAAATCGGGCCGGGCTCGGTGGCTCACGCCTGTAATCTCAACACTTTGGGAGGCCGAGGAGGGCAGATCACGACGTCAGGAAATCGAGACCATCCTGGCTAATGCGGTGAAACCCCATCTCTACTAAAAATACACAAAATTGGCCAGGCGTGGTGGCGGGCGCCTGTAGTCCCAGCTACTGGGGAAGCTGAGGCAACAGAATCGCTTGAACCCGGGAGGCAGAAGTTGCAGTGATCGGAGATCGCGCCAGTGCACTCCAGCCTGGCAACAGAGCAAGACTCCGTCTCAAAAAGAAAAGAAAAGAAAAGTTTAAAATCGTTAAAACAGATTTCTGAAACCCGAGATTGAGTTTTAAAATAAAAATGAAACTGGGAGAAATAGAATACCTCCCTCTCAAGGTTCTGGATGAACTGAGAACATGATGTGTGAGAATGCTAAGACTCCAAAGATGATATCCTGCCTGTGTTTTTAGAGGGAGGGAAAGGAGAATGTCGTCCTGCTGTCCCTGAAGAAACTGACAGGAGAAAGTTCCTCAGGAGTTTTGATGGGTCACTCAACCCTGACGGGGCAGCGTCTGTTTATTCCACGCTTAGTAGCCTACGACGCTGCCGAAGAACTTTATAAATATTTTTTATGCCAATGATGAATTCCAGTTACAGAATTTAAATACAAAGAGGAAAGCTCCTCCTGGGATTCTGATGCAGGGCAGCGTCTCCAGGAAGGGTGCCCCTTCCTCAGTTGCCTCTCAGATACGGTAGACTCTCCCTACCCTCTCCAGTGAGGAGCTCAGCGCCAGGAGCGTCGGAGCTGGCAAGATTGACACGAGCTGCAGCGCCGTCTGGAGGCACGCAGGGAAAATGAAATGAGGTGATGGTTCTGCAGCCTCAGGACCGGACCTCAGGCTGCGGTCTGCCCTCTAGTGGCTGTAGACGTTAGTTACACTTCGAAAATGCTCAAATGGGCCAGTGAAAACTTTTGAGTTAACTGAAAAAGAAACTAGGGAGACAGAGAAATGAGAAATCGTTCAGATGGCACATTGTTGAGACGTCAGCGGAAGATTGGGTTTCTGCTTCTTTGGATTCTCTTCTCTAAGCCAGTGGTTCCCTAGAAATTGGAAAAATAAGGCTAATACACAAAGTAAAAATGCATTTAAGTTCGAGGATTGCCTTTCCTTCTGAGATTTTTGTTCTGCTGAATTTGGGGGGCTTTGTGAAAGTGACGGCAAGTCTCAATTTTCTTTCCATGTCTCATGTCCTCTCCCAAATATTTTGGGAACGTTTACTCATTTGTTACACGCCTACTTCTAGACTCGATAAAACAAGAAATAGTACCATTTATAGTACCAAGAAATAGTATCACTGTTCCCTCCCATCGAGACAGTCTTTCCAATTCAGAAGCAAAGAATTACTTTCAGGTGGAATAGATGTCCAGGATCATTCAGATCCAGGAAAGACAAGGTGTTTCCTCTCCTAGATTTGAGACCTAGGCAGGACCAGTGATCTGTCCACTGTATAATACAGCACTTTGCAGTTGGCAGAAATTCAGTAGGAAATGCTGAAAAGAACAAAGGTCATGGGTGACAGATGGGGCCTAGAGCCCAGATATTCTGTCCTTTTCACCACACCAGGATCCTGAGATTTCTGGAAAGACATGTGCAATCTGCTTAATTGAAAAACTGCCAGGTTTTCCTAACAGGAAGTTGTTGGACTGGGGACAGGTACAGCAGGAATCCAGCAGGGAGAATTGGTGTTTGTCATGCTGAAGGTGAGCCTTGGAAAGTCTCATTAGATATTATCAGAGTGCAATGGGGGATGTGTGGGCAGGTGTTATCTCCTTTGACGGTTTTTCCTACGGGCTGGGATATTAATAAGACTGGGGGATTGGGAGGAGTTACTGGGTGGGGGATACAGAGGAAGGCTTTGTGCTCTGCAGAAAGAAAATTGAGAAATAAAGGTCTATGAGAAATGGGAATGTTCTACACCATGGAACGAGCAAGGGAACAGAGCCTTAAAACTAACTGTGAGGTCAAGTGCCATGTGGCTCCCAGAATAACCAGGGGCTCTGACTGCAGGGAAGCACCGAATACTTCACACTGTTAACAACTTAAAAATGCCAAGCCATGTGCCAAAATGCCCTCCAAACCGTTCTGTAAATTTAGATTTTCATAAATTCTGTATTACAGTTCCAGAAAAACTTCTCAATAATATATTTAATGATGTTTGGTGAGGACATAGAGAAACTGAAACCCTCGTGCATTGTTAGTGGGAATATGAAATGATGCAACCTCTGTGGAAATCACTTTGGCAGTTCCTTAAAAAGTTAAATATAGAATTACCATATGACCCAGCAACTCCACTCCTAGGTATATTCCCAAAAGAACTGAAAAAGAGGTATTCAAACAAAAGCTTGTACACCAGTGCTCACAGCAGCACTATTTACAGTAGCCAAAGATGGAAACAACCCATATGTCCATCAACTGGTAAGTGCTTAAAGAAACTGTGGTATATTCATACAGTGGAATATTACTGAGCCATAAACAAGAATGAAGTACTGATTTGGGCCATGAGGTGGATGAAACTTGAAAACATGCTTAGTAAAAGAAGCCAGACACAAAAGGCCACATATTATATGATTTCACTTACATGACCTATCTAGAATAGGTAAGTCTATAGAGACAAAGATTAGTGGTTGCCAAGGACTGGGAGAAAGGGGAAGGGGAGCAGACTGCTTAATGGGTAAGGGGTTCCCTTTTGGGGCAATGAAGATGTTTTAGAACTAGATGGAGGTGATGGCTATGCAATACCGTGAATTATATACTCTTTATGTTGTTGTTGTTTTGAGGCAGGGTCTCACTCTGTCGTCCAGGATGGAGTGCCATGGTGCAACCTTGGCTCACTGCAGCCTTGACCTTCCAGGTTCAAGCCCCTCTCCTACCTCAGCCTCCCAAGTAACTGGGACTACAGGCCACCACACCCAGCTAATTTGTTTATTTTCTGTAGAGACGGGTTTATATACTCTTAAATTATGAAGTTTATGTTCTGTGAACTTTACCTCAATAAAAAATGTTTAATATTTAAAAATATATTTAATAAATAGTCACTTTAATAACCAGTTACTAAAGAGATAATAAAAAGATACTGCAATCTAAATAATTTTTTTTTTTGAGACGAAGTCTCACTCTGTCACCCAGGCTGGAGTGCAATGGCACAATGTCGGCTTATTGCAATCTCCGCCTCCTGGGTTCAAGTGAGTCTCATGCCTCAGCCTCCTGAGTAGCTGGGATTACAGGTGCCTGCCACCATGCCCAGTTAATTTTTCTATTTTTCGTAGAGATGGGGTTTTACCATGTTGGCCAGGCTGGTCTCACACTCCTGACCTCAGGTGATCTGCCCACCTCAACCTCCCAAAGTGCTGGGATTACAGGCATGAGTCACCGCACCTGGCCACAACCTAAATAACTTTCGCATGTTTCTTTTGGATTAAAGTTATAGCCAGTCCCCCCTCTTTAGGAGTTTCACATCCAAAGACTCAACCAACAGTAGATTGAAAATATTCTGAAAAAATACCACAATACAACAATAAAAAATAATCCAAATTTTAAAAAATACAGTATAACAACTATTAACATAACATTACATTGTAGTTGGTATTACAAGTAACTAGATATGACTTAAATTATGCAAGAGGCTGTGTGTAGGTTACATGTAAATACTATGCCAAAATATCCTCCAAACAGTTCTATAAAAAACCAACTATAATCAAAGTTTAAAGGACTATATTTCTTCAATTTGATGTATTGAAATCATTACCAACCTTTAATAATTTTATTCCTGCAATTCACTTTAATGACTTAATGATTATCATTGTGCAAATAATGAGGATACACTTTAGTGAAAGGCTTTCTTTGACTGCACGTGCTGCACGTGATTGCTGTGGTTAATACAATTGACCTATTCTGCAATAGTAGAAAGAGAAAGAAGTTAGAATCAGTTTTAAAAAAAATCATTAGGTCGGGCGTGGTGGCTCACGCCTGTAATCCCAGCACTTTGGGGGGCCGAGGCGGGCGGATCACAAGGTCAGGAGATCAAGACCACGGTGAAACCCTGTCTCTACTAAAAATACAAAAAATTAGCTGGGCGCAGTGGCGGGCGCCTGTAGTCCCAGCTACTCGGGAGGCTGAGGCAGGAGAATGGCGTGAACCCGGAAGGTAGAGCTTGCAGTGAGCCGAGATCGCGCCACTGTGCCCCAGTCTGGGTGACAGAGTGAGACTCCATCTCAAAAAAAATAAAAAATAAATCATTAAGACTTTTGGAAATGGGTATCTCATTGTATTCCTTATGTCACTGACTCTCAGATGCAAATTTTTTTTATATTTTAACATTGTTGAAATCAGGGTGCCTGTTACAGTCACTGAGACCAGGCAGCCGTCACGATGTAGCTATCATCGCCTGTGCTTATTCGTCCAAAAGTGCTAAATCGTGTCGGGGACCTGGGGGAGAATTCCAGAGACAAGAGTGGAGCACTCTTTCAAGAACATTCTTGATTTTAAAACATGGACATTAATGAGTCAATGTCAAAAATGGTTCTGAAGAGTTGGATTCGGAATGTGTAGAAGTTTTAGGAATGCTTAACCAGTTTGTTTCAATTATATTTCACTTTTCATATATGAGTGTATATGTATATACAAACATGATAGAGAGTAATATCTTTGCTGGCCGGGCGCAGTGGTTCACACCTGTAATCCCAGCATTTTGGGAGGCCGAGGTGGGTGGATCACAAGGTCAGGAGATCAAGACCATCCTGGCTAACACAGTGAAACCGCATCTCTACTAAAAATACAAAAACAAAATTAGCTGGGCGTGGTGGCGGGCGCCTGTAGTCCCAGCTACTCGGGAGGCTGAGGCAGGAGAATGGCGTGAACCCGGGAGGCAGAGCTTGCAGTGAGCCGAGATTGCGCCACTACACCCCAGCCTGGACGACAGAGCGAGACTCCATCTCAAAAAACAAACAAACAAACAAAACACCTGAGACCCGAGATAAGACTCTATTTGGGGCTCCCCAGTTGTAAGGTGTTCCGTGCATACATCATTGGTTCCTGATCTGGGAGAGGGCATGTCAAGCACGGCCCTTACAGAGGGAGGATAATTGGAGCTTGCACCTGGCCTCCCTGGACCCCTTGCTGTGACACAACCCTTGGTTGTGATGCACGCCCCTACTTCAATGCTGCTGCTATATCGTATCCTTTTCCGGCAGTAAACTGTAGATCGGTAAGCACTGTCATTTGGTGTCCTGTAAGTCTTTTTTTTTTCGAAACGGAGTCTCGCTCTGTCTCCCACGCTGGAGTGCAGTGGCGCGATACCGGCTCACTGCAAGCTCCGCCTCCCGGGTTCCCGCCATTCTCCTGCCTCAACCTCCCGAGTAGCTGGGACTACAAGCGCCCGCCACCGCGCCCGGCTAATTTTTTTTGTATTTTTTAGTAGAGACGGGGGTTTCACCGTGTTAGCCAGGATGGTCTCGATCTCCTGACCTCGTGATCCGCCGCCTCGGCCTCCCAAAGTGCTGGGATTACAGGCGTGACCTGTCTTTAACAATGGAACTTTGCTCAACTGCCACCAATAAAGCAGATGCCTGTTAGGCATTTGGTAGGCTGTTTACAGAAATGGCCTCTAAAGCTCCTCCATCAAAGGTGAAGTCTATTTCTCCACCCTTTGAATTAACCAGTGACTCTCTTTTGGTAATAGAATGTGGTAATAGGAACAGTGGCCAGTTCTGGGTCTAAGCCTTGTTAAATGAAGCCAAATTCCCACCTGGGGTTGCCTCCATACTTTGAGTCCCTATGTAACAAACTGCAATCCAACTTAGACATAAATTAAATGAAAGCAGAAATCATGAGCCGACTTTTGTAACAAATAGCTGAGTCCCAGCCAATCACAGCAGCTGAGCTTCAGTAGGTCACAGGTGGCCAACTGATCAGACCAGGTTCAAATATGGTGTCTGCTGATTGGTTACTGAGCTGTAACCAAGCTGTTTCTGTACCTCACTTCTGTTTTGTCTATAAATGCTGCCTGCCTTGCCTTGCAAATTAGGGGGCTCTCGCGCGAGAGTTCTTGCTCTCTCTTCTTCTTCCTCCCTCTCTCCCTCTCTCCTAGGCCATCCCGCTGGAGGATGAGACATGTGCAGCAGAGCGGAATCAGCTCAGTTGTCCCAGCTGAGGCCCCATACATTTGAGAAAGCCCAGCAAAGATTAGTCAAGCCACTCGGCAAACCCACAGCCGACAACGGATGCATAAATGAGCTTCGCCAATCCCAATTCAAATAATCTGGACTGCCCAGCTGGCCCACAGACTGTAAACAAAAAAAATAGTTTGTTATTATATGCACCTAAGGTTTTGTAGTTGTATGTTATACAACATTATTGTGGCAATAAGTAACTGACACAGATATCCAAGTAGAGATGTCAAGTAGGCAGTTGGATGCATGGGTCTGAAGTTCAGGTGGAAAGTCCAAGCTGGAGGAAATTTTGAGAGCAGTAAGGATTGTAGTGGACAGTCATCTGCTCCACCTGGATTCCCTGGAGTAACTTGTTTTCTGAGAGCCCCACTCATGCTTTTGCTTCTAACACCCAGCACCTGTGTCTCTTTGGAGCCTTGCCCTTGGGCTTTTAGAGCTGCTTTGCCCCCTACAACTACAGAACAAGATATACCTGGAAATTTACTTATCTCTAGGAAAGGGGTTCCCAACCTTTTTGCCACCAGGGACCGGTTTCATGGAAGACAATTTTTCCATGGACCGGGTGGTGCAGAGGGATGGTTTTGAGATGATTCAAGCACATTACATTTATTGTGCTCTTTATTTCTATTATTATTACATT
Organism: Homo sapiens; assembly: GCF_000001405.40. Taxonomy (NCBI): domain Eukaryota; kingdom Metazoa; phylum Chordata; class Mammalia; order Primates; family Hominidae; genus Homo; species Homo sapiens. The sequence goes on along the minus strand of NC_000006.12, from coordinate 15,685,451 downwards.
GAAATATATAATGAAATAATTATATAAATCACCATAATGTAGAATCAGCGGGAGCCCTGACCTTGTTTTCCTGCAACTAGATGGTCCCATCTAAGGATGATGGCAGTCAGTGACAGATCATTAGGCGGTAGATTATCATAAGGAGCCTGCAACCTAGATCCCTCGCATATGCAGTTCACAATAGGGTTCCCGCTTCTATGAGAATCTAACACCGCCGCTGATCTGACAGGAGGTGGAGCTCAGCTTCACTCTCTCACCCACTGCTCATCTTCTGGTGTGCAGCCCAGTTCCTAACAGGCCATGGACAAGTACCAGTCCATGGTACCGGTCCGGGGGTTGGGGACCCCTGCGCCATATGACAGGAGGTGGAGCTCAGGTGGTAATGCGAGAGGTAATAGGGAGTGACTGTAAATACGGATGAAGCTTTGCCTGCTTGCTCGCCTACCACTCACCTCCCGCCGTGCAGCTCAGTTCCTAACAGGCCACAGACCAGTACCGGTTTGTGGCCCAGGGTCTGGGGACTCCTATTCTAGGACAACCCTTGACCAGTGACAGACAGGCACAGGGTGCAGAGGGCGAGGTGTGTGAAAGCCTAGTTCTCTTTTCTCTGAAAAACTCTGGGCATACCTCAAGCCCCAGGGTTTCTTTACGCCCAGGACTGGGCTAAAACTACCCTCTGCAAAGACTGCCTACCTTTGCTGGGCTTCTTCTCCTCTGTTTGCATCCCCCTCTCCCTTACCAGTCTGGGGATTATTTCCTTAAGAAATCGTGTGCTCACAAATCAGGCTCTGCTTCTGGGTGACCCACCCTAAGACAAACACGTAAGTAATGTTTGAAGCCATGAGTGTAGATCAGCTATCTATAAGATTATCAAGGGGCTTGGTATCCATAGTTATTCTCTATATTTAGCATTTTAAGACAATTTGATTTTTTTTTTTAATTTTGGATTCCTTTTTAAATTTTGGAACCAAGGCAATTCTGAACGTTTCTAAGTATAAAGTCTGCCCTTGCACTGATGAATTTATGTAGCAAATATTTAAGATTCTGCCAGAGTAGGATTTTCTAACCAGGTCAACATCCCCTTGACACATATTTGCTTCTGGATGCAAATATAGAAATAAAGAGAGGGATGTGAGTGTGTGAGTCTGTGTGTAAGTGAGTGTGTGTGTGTCTGTGTGTGCACACACTCCTGTTGAGGCGGGAATAAAGGAGACTTATGCATGTTATTGGCCATCAGGCAAAGTGAGGAACAGCCCCTGTGGAACTAGAGTGCATTCCAGATTCTGGGATGTTTTGCACAATATCTAAATGTGGTGAAGCTCTAAAAAGGAAAAATGGCCACAAGTATACGTCATTCAAAAATATTTAGGTCATTTACTATATAACTGGCACTGTGCATGTAAGGTGAACTGATCAGACATGATTCTGCCCTCTCTGTCCTTAAAAGTTTGATGGTGAGAGAAGGAGAGATAGGCATTAAATAATTACCTAGATAATTATTTACTTATAATTATGTGTGTTTGAAAGAAAAAGTAGAAGACATTCTCAGAGTAAATAACTGGGGACTAGCATTGTCTGAACCAACAAGAGAGACTTCCCTGAGTAAGTGGCCTCCAAGTCAAGCCTGAGGGATGAATTGAGTTAAAGGGATATCAAGGGCACATGCTCAGGATTAGGGCCAGGAAGAGAGGTTTTCTTCAAATGATATTACAGCCATGCTGTAGCCACAAGAACCATTCAGCAAGATCATGTGTGCTTTGCTCCCTCAAGCCCTTTTTTCCTGTATGTGGACTTTGTCCCTGATTGAAATTCTCTCCAGATTCAGTTAATGCCACTTCCTCTTTTAAGCTTTCACTGACTCTAAGAAAAGTTAGACACCCCTGCCCTGTGTGCTTGTGTGTTACTGACACATCAAAGGTACTTGTTAAATATTCATTGGATGTTCAGCAAATAAATATAACGGCGCCTTATTCAGTAACACTCTTTTGCTTGTCCAACCCATCACCAGACTCTGAGCTCCCTGGAGCAGAGGCTGTGTCTTGCTCATCCTCTATCACGATGCTGGATTTGTGGCACTTTAAAAATGTTTGTTGAATGAATGCATGAGGTTAGTAATGAGGATAAGAATAAGGGCTGTGATAAAGGAGACCTATGAGATGAGGTTTCAACGTAAGTTGAGGTCAGATCGTGGAAGACCTTAAATATCCTTTGAAGGAGTTTGCACTTCGTCATGTGGGGCGTGGTGGAGCTGCTAAAAGTGTCTGAGCCAGACTGATTTGATTAGAACTGTGCTTCATGAAGGTAACATTGGAGAGGCTGGGGGCAGGGGCCAACTGGGAAGTTGCTTAGATTAGTGGTAGTAGAAAGGGACAGGAAGGAGGGAAAAGCTGCAAGGGGATGATTGGCTGCATCAGAACCTGAGAACTCATTTCAAGTGAGAGAATCACTCTGGGGCATTTGCCCCCAGAGGCTGCAGTTCACATAAACTCTCTGTAAAGTTTCTTAAGAATTCTCCAGAGGAACATGAGTTTTCTAGTTAGGTAATTAAGAAATAGCTATGTTCTCAAGAGAATAGCTGAATGCCCTAGATAATTTCTCTAATTTTGATTTAGCAAATGCGTGAGACAACTATGCCATCCTTCCTTTTTGGCTGATGCCCACTTCCTTCAGACTAAATAACCATTTAACCATTTAATCACATTGCAGCAGCATCAGTCACCTATGTCGTCTTTAGAAGCTTCACTATGTCAGCTCCTGGATTTGGGCTTCCCTCTGCTAACTAGAGTTTATGGCTCATTTTTATTGCTCCATCTCCTAGTAGCTGTAATTTCCAATACTGTAGATGATGCTGTGGTTTTGTTTGTTCATTAAAAGTAAGTAAGTCCAAAAGAAAAGGGAGCATACCAAAAACTTACGCTGTATTGCAAATTTTATACCAGAAGTCAGGAATGAGAAAATGTAAGGTTCTCCAGGCATTTAAATGTTAATTTCTCTGCCCTGCATATGTTTCAAAAGATGTTCCAAATCTGATCCTGAATCCAAACTAATCATCCATAATGTGGGCGGGTTAGCATTAGCATAATTTATCTTCTGATTTTTTAATTTCATAAACAATATTTATACATAACTATTCTGTATACTCCTGAACATTTACGAGGGCCTATCATGTGCCAAACTCTTCTGTATTTTGTATCTTCATGTACCTAAAGCTTTCATCTTCACACAACTCCTGCAAGATGCTGTGTTATTATCTCTATTTTACAGTTGAAGAAACAGGCTCAGAATGGTTCATTGACTTGCCTGAGGCCACACAGCTGAAAGGTGATGGAGCCTGTGGGAAATTCAAGTCACCTTGGCTCCAAGCCCCACTCCACCATGCTGCCTTTCTCTAAGATTGAACCAGAACTCTACAACTCAGCAAAAAGGTTGAAAGTCTTCCCTAACATAGGTGAATAAAATTAAAGCTATCTTTCATTCTGTCCTTTCATCCAAGCAGAGAACAAGCCTCAGTAAGTTTACCAGTTTGAGCAAAAAAACCTGATTCCCAACAGCAAACAGTATGACCACAAAATGTGTGCCCACATGAAAGTCATTTCCTCAATGGAATGATCTGTGCAGCAAACCACCATGGCACACGTTTACCCATGTAACAAACCTGAACATCCTTTATAAGTACTCCGAACTTAAAAGTTGGAAATTAAAAGAAAGTCATTTACTCTTTTTAATGAAACCCTTTTCTCAGAAGGTTGTGGCCCTGTGTCAAATGTGACTGGACAATATGATTGTAACAATACTGCAGGCCTCAGTGGACTGTTTCATAAGAAATCTCTCGGCTGGGCACAGTGACTCAAGCCTGTAATCCCAGCACTTTGGGAGGCCGAGGTGGGCGGATCACCTGAGGTCAGGAGTTCAAGACCAGGCTGGCCAACATGGTGAAACCTTGTCTCTACTAAAAATGCAAAAATTAGCTGGGTGTAGTGGCAAGTACCTGTAATCCCAGCTACTCTGGAGGCTGAGGCAGGAGAATCGCTTGAACCCAGGAGACAGAGGTTGCAGGGAGCCGAGATCGCACTACTGAATTCCAGCCTGGGTGACAGAGCAAGACTCCGTCTCAAAAAAAAGAAACCTCTCACACCATATAAGCACTCTTTCTGTATATAATGATAAATACTTTGTTATTATATGGAACAATTCTCCAAAGCACTTAAAGATCATTGATTGCACATTAATATTTACAACAGCCCTACAAGTACTTTCTTTTTTCTTTTTTTTTTTTTTTGAGTCTTGCTCTGTTGCCCAGACTGGAGTGCGGTGGCACAATCTCGGCTCACTGCAACCTCCACCTCCCAAGTTCAAGTAATTCTCCTGTCTCAGCCTCCTGAGTAGCTGGGATTACAGGCACATGCCACAATGCCTGGCTAATTTTTTTGTATTTTTAGTAGAGACGAGGTTTCACCATGTTGGCCAGGCTGGTCTTGAACTTTTGACCTCAAGTGATCTGCCCACCTCAGCCCCCCAAAGTGCTGGATTACAGGCATGAGCCACTGCACCTGGCCCTACAAGTACTTTCAAGCTGAATATTGCTGTTCGTATTTTCTTTCCTGGGGTGACTGATGTCTAGAAAAATCAATGAGTCCCTAACTGGACCCTGAAATTAAACACTGGTCTCTGGTCCTAAGTCTAGTGGGCTTTTGTGTGCTTGAAGAGGCTCATTTATTAGTAAATTTAAGAAAGTGATACATACAACCCTTAAGACTGCAGGATGGAATTAATAGCCTCATCTTTCTGCTTCCATTGTAGCAGAGGAAGCAAGCTGTGAATTCTTGTCCTCCTCCTCTGTTGCTGGTACCAGACACATAGCATTACCCATTGTGTCATTTGAACGCTCACAATAAGCACATTTACCTCCATTTTACAGGTGAGGAAACAGAACCTCAAAGATGTTCAGGAAATGCCCAAAGTCACTTGTCCAGTAAAAGAGAGATCCAGGGTTCGAGCCAGGTCAACCAAAGCCTATTTTCTCCTACCCCCTCTGTACTACCTTTCTTCCTGTTATTTATTTATTTATTTTTTTTAATACTGACATCTGTCTAAAAAGGTCAGAGATGGGGCATGGGGAAAACACAAATAGCTGAGATTCACAGATAACTGCCAATTCTTATTTTAGCATTTCTCCCAAATCTTTAATTAGAAAATCAGAACTGTTACCTAGTCAGATTGGCTGGTGTGAAATTCCCTGCTACTTTCTGGCCTGTGTTGCTAGAGGTGAAACTGCCAGAAGGTGACTGTGAGGACACACCAGGTATGCATTTCTGTATAATCATGATTTGCTGTTGTATATATGCTACTGTTTGAGCAGCAAATTTCAGATTTCATAATTTTATATTTTAAGTAGGAAATGCATACAATCAGTAAGAAGTAAAGTTGTACTTTTTTGTCATGGAAATTCAGGATGAATATTTTTATCATCATAACAGAAAAAGATTTTTTATCTCTTTCTGTGCAGCATACCTGCATTCTGACACAAATGTGCCAGGAGAATGCTAAACAGTTTTGTTCCCTTTTAAATGGAAATAGATCTGGATCTGATGGGAAAAGGTTAGTGAGCAACTGCTGTCACCAAAAAGAGAGAAGGAATCAAAACCCAATCTTTTATTGTCAAGTTTTTTTTAATCTGGGTTTATAATAAACAGAAGCAGCAGCTCTTATTGTTAAAAGGTATCATTCCAAGATAACCTTAGGATGTTATCTTCTTTGTAGGTGCCATCAAATGAGTTGCTTTAACACTTAATACATCATAACAGAATTGAATATGATAAAGAACACATAACAGACTTTTAAGAAATTACATCATCTGACATTAGTATGTGCCATTTTTAAAACCTGCTTGTAGAAACTGTTAGGAAATTCAGGGAATGGTACATATAAGATTCATATAGGCCAGGTGCAGGGGCTTATGCCTGTAATCTCAGCACTTTGGTAGGCCAAGGTGGGCGGATTGCTCGAGGTCAAAAGTTTGAGACCAGCCTGGCCAACATGGTGAAACCTCGTCTCTACTAAAATTACAAAAACTAGCTGGGTGTTGTGGTGGGTGCCTGCAATCCCAACTACTCAGGAGGCTGAGGCAGAAGAATCACCTTGCGACTGGGAGGCAGAGGTTACAATGAGCCACAGTTGCGCCACCGCACTCCAGCCTGGGCAACAGAGCAAAACTCCATCTCAAAAAAAAAAAAAAAGATTCATATAAATGGGTCATTGCTGCCCCACTCACCCCTCCTCCAATGACACTGCCTTTATGCGAGATAAAGTGAGTTCAGCAATAGAAGAAAGGATGATATTATGAATAAAGGTTATAATGTCAGGGAAGTTACTCTGGAATGGTGAAGTGGGAAATCATGGACTTTGGAGTCAACAAACCTAGGTTAAAATTATTGGCTCTACTGCTTGTTACTGTATGACCTTAAACAAGTTACTTAACCTCTCTTAACCTGAGTTTCTGAATCTATAAAACAAGGGCAAGAAGACATGCTTCATGATATTATTGAAAGGTTACAGGAGATGATAATGCATCTAACCCTAATTGAAGCCACAACCTATCTAGTCCAGCCCCAGAGAAACACAGACTTTTCAGGCAACCAATCAGGGGGAAACAATTCCAGTTTTATTCAAGTTTCTCAGCACTGAAGAAAATCCAATTCATAACCAGCTGCAATATTTCTCATTGCTGCTTTTAGTCACCAAGTTCACTCATGTCAGCAGCTTCTGGAGTTCCTTATCTACCTTACTACCATAGAACATTCTCCACCCTTCCTTGCTTTTTCTGCCACTCCCATCCCACTCCCCACCTATCCATTCCATCTCTTTCTTGTCTTTATTACAAAGGTGATTTTTACCTCTTTAGGGAAGTCCTTTCTCTTCAATTCTAGTCTCTCAGAGTCTGTTTTTCTATGGTCAATCTGCATCACAAGTATGCAAAAACCATTCTGAGAGAGAAAGACCAATGGTTTATTTGGGAGGATAAAGTTTGGCAGAGAAGGGAGTTCTAATTAAACTGGAAATTATGGGGCTTTCCTTGTCAATATGGGAAGGTGATGTGGTAGAAAATGTGCCAACATATTATGTTGATCATTTTACCCCATGATATATCTAAAGAAAATAGCACCAGATCTGGCACAAAGTATAGTCTCAACATGTGTCAGTCTGTCTTCCATTCGGCATCTGTTCCAGATATCTATTGCTGCGTAACGAACTATGCCGAAACTAAGTGTCTTAAAATGATGATGATTATCTCTAGTGGTTTCATGCTTGACTGAGCTCAGCCAACCAATTCTCACTTGGGGTCTCTCATGTGACTGCAGTAAGATGGCATCTGAAGCTAGAGTCATCTAAAAGCTCAGCTGCAATCTGCCTCAGCTGGGATGGATGGAAGAGCAGATGGTTGGCTACATCACTCTCTCTCTCTCTCTCTCTCTCTCCATGTGGTCTCTCTGTATGACTGGTTTAGGCTTCCTCCTAGTATGGCGGTCTCAGACTTCTTCCTCAGAGTGAGCTTTTCAAGAGACTCGGATAGAAACTGCCAGACTCCTTATAAAGTAGCTTCAGAAGTTACAAAGGCGTCACTTTTGCAAGTTAAAAGGCAAGCCATAGGGCCAGCCCAGATTCAACGGGAGGAGACTGTACCAGGGGGTGAAAACTGGGGTACACAGTTGATTGAGGGACCACCTTTGGACATCACCTATCACATAGCCAACTCAACTCATCCCAAAACATTTTCTCTTCATTTTGGAAACTTAGAAATGTTTGGTTATACTTTATAGTTAATTTTGCTGAAGAACCGAGAGCCTGGGTCAAGAGGGTAATCTCCTATTGTAAGCCAACGAAGTTCAGTATGAAAATATCCATTCCCTTCCTTCTTGGAAAAGGACATCAGACTGCTTGATTTTGACTCTTGACTTCACTCTACAGTCTTTTTGAACATGAGCTGGTTTTGTCATCTCTCTGGTTCCTCAGCTGCGAAATAGGACGGACATTATTCATAGGGCTGCTAGAGACAAAATGAGATGATTTCCATAAAAATGCAGATACTGCATAGTACATAGTATGTGCTCAATAAATATTATAATTTTTGAATGTAGATGCTTGGCCTACTCATTGAGAGAATTTTGCCTGTAACTGCAAAAAGATACTCCGGTCAGGAAACACCTTAACCTCACCCAGGGATTCTAGGCAGTTGACACTAGTTTCAAAATATATAGGTAATATAATTAGTAATGTGAATATACTGAATAAATGGCAGGCTTCTAGCAAGCACATTTATGGACAGAGGCTAATGAAACTTGAACTTATTTAGATTTGTAGCATCTCTAAACAATTTTGTCTTCTGCTTCACTGGGAAATGATGCAAAGCAGCATCCTACTCAGGCTGAAGTTTTTCAGTTCATTTTATTACACTGTTAGAAATTCAACCAATGACAGATTTATTTGGGTGAACAAGTATAACCAAGCTTTGCAGACAAATACAATAAAATCTGCTAAGTAAATTCTGGGGAAACATGGCTGGTAGAAATGAGTGGAATGCGGGGAGAGTAGTTTCTAAGATTGGGAGGAGGAGATGGAAGATCCCAACCTCATAATTCACAGGGATAAGGCAAACCATGCTCCACTGAGGGTCCAACAAACCTTTAGAAATCAAACAAGAAAAACAACAAATCATTCCAAGGGCTTCCTAGGTTTGGCTTTGGGGTTGGAGTACTGAGATAGGACTTGGAGTAGGAGTGAGGTTCCTCAGTGGAATAAGAAGTGTGTCATTCTTTTCGAGATCTTGTCCCTAAGTTCAAGTACAGATAGAGTAACAGAGGAAGTAGAGGACTGTTATCAGTTAGTGTTATTTGTATCAAGCAATTGATACAATTCTGGCTACCTTCAACAAGAAGGAATTCTTTGGGAAGGATATGGGGCACAGAAGGATAGAAAAAAAAAAAAGATGGATTCAAAAAGGACAGGCCCACACATCTCTGGAAGTTCCCAGTGACAGGAATGACCAAACGGTCTTGTCTGGACATCTCCACTAGATTTTCAGTCTTTGCATCATTCAGTTCAAGGACGAAAATAGCAATTACCCTAGTCGTTTGCCTGACCATTGCCTGCAGAAAGAATGAGCACCATGATTGAAAATCCCACTGGAATATAATCCAATGGGAGAGAGCTAATTCCTCCAAATGAGTGCTCTGCCCAAAGACAGTTAAAGGGTGATGGACTACTGAAAGCAACATACATCTGTGACATAAGTCAGTATCAACATGCGAGAACACTAACCCCAGTGGTGAAATGGAGCATCTTGCCTCTGTGGCAGAAATCATCAGGCATGTGGATGGTAGTATGCTGCTGTATTGCCTGATAAAACAGAAGTGAGCTTGCTTTGCCCCAAGAAGCTAAGAGGCAGTTGAGACAGAAGGGTAATTATAGTCTGAGACAACACTTGGGAATAATAGATTTATTGTTGTCTTGTAGCCCATTTGAATCCTCCAAACTCCTATAGCCAGGCGATATCTCAAACACAGAAGCACCCTTTTACAAAGACCTAAGCACTTACAGAAAGGAAAAGGCTGCTAGAAAATCAAATGTTAGTTTGAACTAACTAATCCTGTTTGGTTTCCTGTTAGTCTTAGTGAGGCAATGGGGTTTGAATAAGGAAATGAAGGAAGTTGATGATTTGGGAACTCTAGAGAAGTCAGGGCTGACCCAGGGGAAGTGCAAGAGCTTAGGACAAAGTGCAAGAGCCCCTGGAGTGGAGGAAAACAATTAAAGCTGACCTTGGCTCTAGTAAAGGGGAGGAGCACTTTCTTCTCAATCTCTCCAGTAAGGACACGGTCCCCAACTTCTAGGCCTAGAACTCAAGCTCCTATGGTCATTCAGCCACATTAGGGGTGAAACAGCCTTCTGTCGAAGAGGCCTTGCTATTGAATCACCATTTATAACTTTGTTGCTTGGGAAAAAATGCATCTTGGGTCCCTAAACCCTGACAAGAAACTTTGGAGCCCAACTTTTTCATAGAGTGTGCACTGTGCAAAATGCATCATTTATCCTCTGTGATCCTGCTCGTTGGATTTATTCTCAGCAATCTGGCTTGGGGAGTTCCATCATCAAGCCAAGATTCATCTCACACACATGTAATTCGGTTAAGCCCTTAATGATGCCCAGTGGCTTTTATCATGTCTGTCTCTCTGTCTTTATTTAGTCTGACTGATTTACTAACTGACTGGCTCCAATCCCGTGTCTGTGGGGTACAGATAAACAAGGGTTTAACCAGGGCTTATAAACAAACCGAAGGATACCTTACCCTCTCCTGGGGGCAATGAGCGACTGGCAGCTCCTCTGAGGTATTCCTATCAGAAGGCTGTCTGCTGGTCAAGGGCACCTCAGTAACTACAGGCTAAGGGGGTAAGAGAGGAGTCAGATTACCCAGGTCAGGAAACTGCAGATGGGAGCGGGAGAGGGAGTCACCTCGGGGCTCTCTGCAGAGGCTATCACATGCCCAGTTAGGTGAAACTTCTTTCTGTTTTCGCAGTGTGTCCTCTTTCTCCCTGCCACACCAAGAGAAGCTAAAACCAGAAGAGGGAAGAAGAACAAAAGTGAAAGCAGAGGCCAGTTCTACTGTAGTCCTCCTCTCCATAGAGGGTCCAGAGAGCCTAGGTCAGGCCTGAGCCTCTGAAGGGAAGGGGACCAGACTGGAGTTTAAATCAAACTGGACTCCGTGTGTGCATGTGTGTGAGCACATTTGTAAAACTATAACATGATGACTTTTCAGTGTAAAAAATGGAACTGCATGTCCCCTTCCATGAATGTATCTTATTCCTGTCTCTATTAATATAGCAAAACTATAAAAAGTGAGATTATAGCCTGATGGTATCTTGATCTTAAATCATCTATGTGGCTAATCATGAGGTTAAGGACTGTTAGAAAACCAAGATGACTGTTGGAATTTAAGCCCAAAATTACTCCAGCTTTGCAGATTGAGATTTTTTTTTTTTTTTTGAGACAGAGCCTCGCTCTTGTCACCCAGACTGGAATGCAATGGTGCGATCTCAGCTCACTGCATCCTCTGCCTCCTGGGTTCAAGCCATTCTCCTGCCTCAGCCTCCCGAGTAGCTGGGATTACAGGTGGCTGCCACCATGCCCAGCAATTTTTGTATTTTTAGTAGAGGCGGGGTTTCACCATGTTGGCCAGGCTGGCCTCGGACCCCGACCTCAAATGATACACCCACCTCAGCCTCCCAAAGTGCTGGGATCACAGGAGTGAGCCATCGTGCCTGGCCAGATTGAGAATTTTTCAAATGTCCACTTTATGGCATTAATCTTTCTGTACCTCACTTTTCCTTATTAGTAAACGATGTAGATTTTAAAAACAAAGTAAAAATGAAGAGTTATTTCTGGCAGCTGGCATCTATGTACCCACTGTGCAGCAGCTATAGTCTCAGCTGTGAAATGAGAGGATTAATTCATCTCTATGTGGCATTCTAGCTCTGAACTCTACGAAACTTAATGCCACTAAGAAGCATGGCAGTTTCCCAAATGCCGACCTCCAGGCTAAGAGAGCAAATGTACAATGGGGTCACCATCTGGTATTATAGTGACTTACTTGAGTTTCTGTGTTGTTTAATGACTAATTGGCTACTAACAGTGGAGTTCTCTGGATTCATTTATTCTAGTCAAATGAACACATAAGCTAAAGTTCACAACTAAGAACTGTGCCATTCATTTACCATCTGGAAATGAAAAGCTTAATTTTACTGCTGGGCAAAATAGAAGACACAGAAATCAAATATCAGTAGGTCGCAGTAAACTAAGTTAAAAAAAATCCACATTGCCATGACCTCATTAAGTTTAAATAAAAAGACATGAATACCAATGCAGAGAATCTATTGCAACCCACTTCTTTCTACTTCTTTAAATAATTTGTGGTATGAATGTGTGTGTCTGTGTGTTTAGATTTTGTGAGAAATGAACAAAAGTCTTTGGTGTGTTATTTTAAATTGCTAGAACTTAAAAGTTTCATTTCAACAGGATCTATGTAGCATAAACCATTGTAGCTTTGCATTTATACTAAAAGTTGGTAAGGCACATTGTATTGGGTTTGTTGACAGGAAGCCTATAATTTTATTTTCCAAAAGATTTGTGCAAGGTCAAATTTCCAAAGGAAAATTGACCAATTTTCCAGAAAGTTTTAAAGGGTAAGTAGCGCTCCACTGAGGTTTTTCTATCTAGTGTTCATGAATGTGGATGAATCCTAGTTAGGAAGACTGGGGAGGTGTCTGGATGCAGCCCTGCAGGATGGATATGAAGGCAAGCAGAAGGAGAGCAAGGAGAATTGACTGGCATTTACCATCCGTGGATTTCTGATACTCAAAACCACAGCTGACACTAATCCTCACTTCAATTCCCATTTCAGCCCCTAGCTATTTTTAGGGCAAAGAACTTGAGACTTTATATGAGAGGTTAAATGTAGTGATGGATGTGAAATAGGGAGTTAATGGAAACTCTCATCCCTCTCAGAACGCATCATCAGGTTTGGGTGAAATGCATTTGCCTCAAATGCAAAAAGAACATAAAGAAATGACAGTGAGGAGGGAAAGAGGGACCAGTTTGAAGGCTGGATCTCTGATCTTCAGCTGAATGTCATTTGGCCTGTGGCACAAGCTCCCAGATTTGATTTGATTTAGAGCTGCAATCATGAAAATGCAATAAAGTATTACAAACATTTAGTGGCAATATTCTATATTAAAAGATGAAGACAGGATGGTTTATGGTTCCTTATGAGTAGACAAGGCATTTTAAGAAGAGAAAATAGCATGACCCATGCTCCCAGACTGTACCCTGCTGGAGTATGAGCAAGATGGCATGGGGACAGTAACACATTTCTGACTTGCCACTCCCCCACAGCTAACCTCCAAGATGCAATCTATCCTGTTTCACCAGCTGACAGATGGGCAGTGCCTTAGTCCTCTGATTTGAGGAAGTGAGGCTGGGTGAGGATTTGGGGGTGATGTCTATGACTAAATGAGAAGCAGGGTATTCAGATTTGGCCAACAGGGTGGACAGATTTCCCAGCCAGAGCCCCTCTCCTCTTTACATTCAGAGCCAGGGCTGCTCACCCTCCACGCACCCATGTCTCTGATTCCCGTGTACCCTGGGAAGCCTCTTGCTCCCATGAAGGGGAGTCCCCTGCCCACCTCCCCCTCAGTCTCCACAGCAGGATTCCAGCCAAGGGCCATGTAACCCTCTCCCAACTCTCTTCCAGGAGGCAGAGCACCTGGCTTGGGTGCCTGGCATGGGTATCGCCCACTCTTGCCTTGCTCTGGTGGACTCTTTGTCTTCTCTGTCTCCCCTCCCCCAGGGTCTTGCCAGTCTGTGAGGGAGGTGATGCCCTGGCTAACCCGCCTAAAGGCTTGAGGGGCTGAACTGGCTCGGCTGCCTTGATTTTCACATAACCAGGTGGCATTTGCCGAGAGCTGGCTTTGGAGGCTGGCCCAGATGCCTAAACCTCACCACAGCAGTTGCAGCCACCTTCCAGGAGTTTATGCTGAGATACTTACATTTCTGAAGGCTGTCCCAGCAATGGACCCCCTTTGATGACTCTTTCTTCCAAAGCAAAGACAAGGTGAGTCACTCTTCATCTGGGCAGTCACAGATGTATTTATTAATTCTTGTTTGAAACAGGGTCTCGCTGTGTTGCCCAGGCTAGATCGTGTGTGGCATGATCACGGCTCATTGCAGCCTCGATGTCCCTGGCTCATGCAATTGTCCCACCTTGGCCTCCCAAGTAGCTGGAACTATAGGCACATGCCACCACACCCAGCAGATCACAGCCATATTTAAAACACTAATCACCTTGTGGATATTGTCTCACCTCTAGATCAGAAGCTCTTCAGTACCTTATTGGTATGTGTCTTACAGTACTTTATTTCCTAATCTGTAAAAGGGGATAAATGATATGTGCAAAGTGCTTAGAATCCTGTTTGGCACTATGGAAGTCTCAGTAAATCATAGCCATCATCATTAGTATAACAATAATTTAAGACAATATGAATACCATTACTGTCAGCATCTAGTAGAGCACCCAGTATAGGTGGGGCCTTAACAATGTGGTTTTGTTGAGTAGGTGACACTGCAGAAAACCATAAGGAGAAAAGCCTTGCCTGACAGAGGGATGAATAATAGGGAGCAATGGGAAATCAGGAGATGTGGTGTGCACCTGTGTTCTCCCCTGCCCTATTCCCCGTCGTGCTCTGCTTAACAGCCTCATGTTTTCTCTTCACTGCAGCCTCCAGGTGGAACAAGGGGGTAAGAGGAAGGATGAGCATCCTGCTCTTAGATACTGTTTCACCTTTGACATTTCCACTATTTTCAAAAGTTGAGGTTTTATTAAAAGTCCTCCATTGATCAGCTAATTCCCCCTCAATGCCATGCTTCCTCCCTAGGTACCAGTGGGTGGTGAGTGGTGCTAATTTGGGTTGCATGAGGAAAGTAATCACACTCATTTCAAGAACAGAATTCTGGTAGCAGAGGACTAGATTATTCAGTATATGCCACAAGCTCCTCATTGGCATAAAAAATGGTTTATTAAGACAACAGGTACATCTGTTCACTTTTATTTGTGTATAAACAGAGACAATACATAGAAGCAAAGGAACCCAATATTTCTGTACATAAGAACTAGTTTACTTCCCTCCTTCCCTTGTTGAGATTCTCAGCATATCACAAAGGCAATGTTTGAAAACTTACCATTTATTTTGTCTAAACCTCTGAATTGAAGCAACACAAGTGAAAACATTACCAGGTAACACACTGAATACATTATCTCGAATTTAGCCATTATGGGTTTATTCACCCCCTTGCAAATTCGCAGAAACAGCCCCTCAGAGTCCCCCTCTAAGGGAGAAAAAAGGCCAAAAGCACTTCTTGTACATGTTTTGTACGGTTTGACTCTGCAACCCTGGTCACCGTAGACTTGGCCAGGGAGTGGTACTGGGCATACAGGCAGACATGCACAGCATGAGGTGGCCTGGTACAGGATTTTGCTTATGTGAGGCATTCTGGGGTAAAAGAGGACTGGTGAAAGCATTCAGATCCTTCTTCTGGTCACCCAGGGAGCGGTGTAGTTGGTAGCAGTGGCAGAAACCACGAGACTTGGAGAGAGGAGTTGTTAAGCTGAAGCCATGAGGTGGCCAATGTTATATGGGAAAGCAGAGAGTAGAAAGAAGAAAAGGTAGAAGCAGGGAGAGTCAGAAAGATAAATGGGACTGGAGGAGTCACTTGGAGAGGAAACAAGACAGTTTCTCTGAAATGACAGCTACCAGAGCTCCTGTTAGGACACTAGAGGGTTTGTTGTTTCCCCAATGGTATAGCGGAGAAGAAATAGCTTTCCTTACCATCTCAGGTTCATGGCTGGGAACCCTATAACAAAAAGATGAACAAGAGCAAAGCATACAAATTTATTAAGTTTAATGTGACACGGGAGCCTTCATAAGGAAATGAAGACCCAAAGGAACAGGTAATCTTGTGTATTTTTATGGTTAGGTTTGATAAAAAATGGACAGTCATAGAGAAGTTTGCTAGGAGGACACAAAGGTATGGCTCAGCGGTAATAAATGGAGGGAAACTTAGCAAGACTTGTTTGTTCAGATTCTTCTTGGCATCTTTTAGTCTTCAGCTCCTTTCTTCCATGTATAAGGATGGTACCTTTCACATGGGGTACTGCTCATGTGACTTGCTACAGGAGAAGGCTGGGAAATCCTTTCTGGGGTTTTAGGACCTGCTTCAGGGGAGAAGGGGATGTGTGTCAGACAAAACCTGCTTCTGTGGTTTTCGCAAATGCCCAGGGTACCATATTTTGGGGTAGCATGTTCTGAACCCCATCACTGGCAACAAGAGTCTTCCAGTTCCAGAAGGCCTGGCTAAGTCTCCAGGCACAGTTGGTTCTTGGATTTCCTCTCTTTGCTGAGTAGGTATTTTTGAAAAAACAAAACAAAACAAACAAAACAACAACAACAAAACACAACCCCTGGGGAAGCCCGAGCACATCTCAGCTGCTGCCTCACTTATCCAGGCCTGGTTTAGCTTTCTCCTCTGCCCCTGCCTCACACTGTTGCCTTCAGAACCAGCCAGCAGAGATGGAGGCTACAGGGGTTTGGGTACAATAAAGTGATGGGGCTAGTGCCTGTTTGAATGAGCTGGGAAAGGTGAGGACAAACTGCAGCCTTGACTCCTGAAGTTCATGGATTCTGAAGTCATCGTTGCCTTCCCCTGCAGGGCAGCTTAAGTCTCTCTGCTTAGCTCAGTGGTTCCCAGCCCTGCCTGCATGTTAGAATCACCAGGGAAGCTTTTAAACCGCATGAAGGAGGAGACATCACCTTAGACCAGTTAAACCAGGTGCTCTGGGGGTGCTGAGGTCAGGCACTGGTATTTCTAAAATGCTCCCCATGTGATTTGAAGGTGCAGCCAGGCTTGAAAACTATTACTTAACTGCAATTATAATCATCAATTATTTTAACTACTAATGATCAATTATTACGGCTCCCCCACCAGCATGTATTGACCTGATAGTTAGCTCTAAGTAATCATTGTCTCAAACTTTTTTTTTTTGGCCACTAATTCTTATTAAAGAGTTTCAGTTTGTTATTAAGTTTTCCCACACAAATATATTTCTATGGCACAGTAGTTCAGAAGATGTGATTTCTGAGATGTATTCTCTCTGGGGGAACCATCTATTTGTAAGAGTACAGGACGTGGTTTCCTTTACTCATGTAGAGTCCCTACGCTTTGATGAATGGAGTCACTTGGTCGTTTATGGATATCTTATAGACCATATAGATCCAACCATAGAATAACAAAAAATAAAAGTTTTCCTCCTGTAATGTATCTTTATAGATTATATAGATCTAAACACATATTAACAAAAAATAAACGTTTTCCTCCTTTAATGCAACAGTGTAGTGCCTTCTTTTTTCATCTGAGCAAAAAGATAAGGTTAGGTGCCCAGTCATTTTATGACAGTGGGATACAATTTTGGAACACAAATAGATGCAGCTGAGATCCTTTTACTGTTCTTTCCGTTCAGCTCAGGTAAAATACTCATTTCCAACCTTGCTGTCACTCCCGACAGTGCTTGCCGTCTAGATCTATTATTATAGCTTCTGTCTTCCGACCTTGATATTCTCTAACTACCCCCTTCTCTCCTGTTCTTCAGCTGCGTTCTAATCTTTACTCTCTGAGGTTGGAACTCTCCTCCTTCACCTCCCTGATTTCTGTCTCTGCTTTTCTTTTCAAAATGCTGTGCTGATATCACCTTTCCAGCTTTATCTAGCTTACCTCATTCTTAAAAATACTCATTGCTTCACGAGAAACATTTACAGCTTTTACATGGATTCTTCTGTAACCATTAAACTCTTAAAAATTAAAGATATCAAAAATATTTACATGTTGGCTTTTTAAAAACATCACAAATAATAACAACACACTGTAAATATCTTTACAAATCTAAGTCAGGTTCCTGCAAAGCAATTAACCATAGTCCCTTTCCAATTACTCTAAAAGAGCTCTGCCAATGAAATGGTATGAACTTTTCTGGGTTCTACAGCCCCTTCTTTTTTTTCCTGCTTTTTTTTTATTATTATTATACTTTAAGTTTTAGGGTACATGTGCCAAGTTGGTGTGCTGCACCCATTAACTCGTCATTTAACATTAGGTATATCTCCTAATGCTATCCCTCCCGCCTCCCTCCACCCCACAACAGGCCCCAGTGTATGATGTTCCCCTTCCTGTGTCCATGTGTTCTCACTGTTCAATTCCCACCAATGAGTGAGAACATGCGGTGTTTGGTTTTTTGTCCTTGCGATAGTTTGCCGAGAATAATGGTTTCCAGCTTCATCCATGTCCCTACAAAGGACATGAACTCATCATTTTTTTCACTGCATAGTATTCCATGGTGTATATGTGCCACGTTTTCTTAATCCAGTCTATCATTGTTGGACATTTGGGTTGGTTCCAAGTCTTTGCTATTGCGAATAGTGCCACAATAAACATATGTGTTCATGTGTCTTTATAGCAGCATGATTTACAGTCCTTTGGGTATATACCCAGTAATGGGATGGCTGGGTCAAATGGTATTTCTAGTTCTAGATCCCTGAGGAATCGCCACACTGACTTCCACAATGGTTGAACTAGTTTACAGTCCCACCAACAGTGTAAAAGTGTTCCTATTTCTCCACATTCTCTCCAGCACCTGTTGTTTCCTGACTTTTTAGTGATCGCCATTCTAACTGGTGTGAGATGGTATCTCATTGTGGTTTTGATTTGCATTTCTCTGATGGTCAGCGATGATGAGCATTTTTTCATGTGTCTTTTGGCTGCATAAATGTCTTCTTTTGAGAAGTGTCTGTTCACATCCTTTGCCCACTTGTTGATGGGGTTGTTTTTTTCTTGTAAATTTGTTTGAGTTCATTGTAGATTCTGGATATTAGCCCTTTGTCCGATGAGTAGATTGCAAAAATTTTCTCCCATTCTGTAGGTTGCCTGTTCGCTCTGATGGTGGTTTCTTTCGTACCACCCCTTCTTTAATAGCATCTTTCTCTTTGGTTCTAACTCCGCCAAATCCTCATTTATCACTTTGTCTCCAATAAGAATCTGCTGAGACAGGAAACCCCCTTTCATCAACGAGTAGGGCTTCTCAAATGTTAACATGAATAAAAATCACCCGGGGGGTCTTAATAAAACTCAGATTCTGATTCAGTAGGGCTGGCTGGGGCCTACGATTCTACCTTTGCAGGAAGCTCCCAGATGATGCGGCTGCTGCTGGTCAGGGAAGCACTATTTCAGGAAACTTCTTAGCAGCTTTGGTGCTCACCCCAAACGTTGTATCACCAAAGCTTTTCCTGGGCGCAACTAATATGCTCTCAAAAAATCAACTCTCTGCTGGGCGCGGTGGCTCATGCCTGTAATCCCAGCATTTTGGGAGGCCAAGGCAGGCGGATCACTTGAGGTCAGGAGTTTGAGACCAGCCTGTCCAACATAGTGAAACCTTGTCTCTACTAAAAATACAAAAATTAGCTGGGCGTGGTGGCGGAAGCCTGTAATCCCAGCTACCCAGGAGGCTGAGGCAGGAGAATCACTTGAACCCAGGAGGTGGAGGCTACAGTGAGCCAAGATTGCACCACTGCACTCCAGCCTAGGTGACAGAGGGAGACTCCGTCTTAAAACAAAACAAACAAAAAAACCCCAAACAAACAACAATCAACTCTCAACCAATTCCTGAATTAAGATTAGGTCAATAGCTTCCATACTGATGTTGGTTCTCAAACTGTACTTAAAAGCTTTGTTTTTTTTTTCATTTTGCC